>NC_000012.12:40641946-40793461 GCF_000001405.40 Homo sapiens
TCACTGATACCCTTTCTTCCACTTGATCAAATCAGCTACTGAAGCTTATGCATTTGTCATGTAGTTCTCCTGCCATGGTTTTCAGCTCCATCAGGTCATTTAAGGTCTTCTCTACACTGTTTATTCTAGTTAGCCATTTATCTAATCTTTTTTCAAGATTTTTAGCTTCTTTGCTATAGGTTCGAATATCCTCCTTTAGCTTGGAGAAGTTTGTTATTACTGATCATTTGAAGCCTTCTTCTCTCAACTTGTCAAAGTCATTCTCCATCCAGCTTTGTTCCATTGCTGGTGAGGAGCTGCGTTCCTTTGGAGGAGAAGAGGCGCTCTGATTTTTAGAATTTTCTGCTTTTCTGCTCTGGTTTCTTCCCATCTTTGTGGTTTTATCTACCTTTATCTACTTTTGGTCTTTGATGTTGGTGAAGTACAGATGGGGTTTTGGTGTGGATGTCGTTTCTGTTTGTTAGTTTTCCTTCTAACAGTCAGGACCCTCAGCTGCAGGTCTGTTGGAGTTTGCTGGAGGTCCACTCCAGACCCTGTTTGCCTGGGTATCACCAGTGGAGGCTGCAGAACAGCAAATATTGCAGAACAGCAAATTTTGCTGTGTGATCCTTCCTCTGGAAGCTTCGACTCAGAGGGGCACCCTGCTGTATGAGGTGTCAGTAGGCCCCTACTTGGTGGTGTCTCCCAGTTAGGCTACTCGGGGTCCAGGGACCTACATGAGGAGGCAGTCTGTCCATTCTCAGGTCTCAAACTCCATGCTTGGAGAACCACTACTCTCTTCAAAGCTGTCACACAGGGTCGTTTAAGTCTGCAGAAGTTTCTGCTGCCTTTTGTTCAGCTATGCCCTGCCCCCAGAGGTGGAGCCTACAGAGGCAGGCAGGCCTCCTTGAGCTGCAGTGGGCTCCACCAAGTTTGAGCTTCCTGGCCACTTTGTTTACCTACTCAAGCCCCAGCAATGGTGGGCACCCCTCCCCCAGCCTCACTGCCACCTTGCAGTTTAATCTCAGACTGCTGTGCCAGCAGTGAGTGAGGCTCTGTGAGCATGGGACCATCTGAGCTAGGCATGGGATATAATCTCCTGGTGTGCCATTTGCTAAGACCATTGGAAAAGCACACTATTAGGGTGGGAGTGTCCCGATTTTCCAGGTGCCGTCTGTCACAGCTTCCCTTGGCTAGAAATGGGAATTACCCAACCCCTTGGGCTTCCCTGGTGAGGCGATGCCCCACCCTTCTCCGTGGGCTGCACCCATTGTCCGACAAGCCCCAGTGAGATAAACCCAGTACCTCAGTTGGAAATGCAGTAATCACCCATCTTCTGCATCACTCACACTGGGAGCTGTAGATTGGAGCTGTTCTTATTCACCCATTTTGGAATCTCCCCCGCTGAATTCTGCCTTGTGTGAGATCAATGAAGCCTCTTCTGGGGTCTAGATTGGGACTGCTTTCTGGATACAAAACCATATCAGGCCAGAAATAGTTGTAGAGGATTTACAGGAATCAACAAAAAGTTACGTTTTAACAGTGGCTCCAAGACACATTTATGAAGGTTGAAACTGATTTATCATAACTAGCTTTCTGAGAAAAAAAGTGTGTTAAAGAATGAAGTGAAATAACATATATAAAATTAGTAATACCAACCATGAAATGAGGTGTGTGAGTTTTCTATTTTATTATAATCCACTGTAAGATTTAGTTGTCAGACATAGTTTATGGCCCCCAGCCAGATATTTTAAACACTAGTTATTTATATGATTTTAGATTTGGCTGCTGAACTACACACACTTCCAGGGCTTTATATGTGATCACTGGGCTCTGGAGCCAAAGGAAGCCTCAATTGCACAGGCATCCAAGGCCCATGGATTGAAGCAGAGCTTGTGGATGGAGATGTGAGGTTTGGTTATACTTCTCTTTACAAATAGAACAAAAGTGATCCTCCTGATAGATTTGTAATTCAAATGGTTATAGCAGCTTACAGAAAATAAGCACTCATTTCAAGGTATCTTTTGAAGTCACTGAGTTTTGTTAGCTTAGAAAGATATCTTTGGCTCTTGAAAGTCAAAAGGAGTAAATTCTGTCTTAGGGAATATACATAACCCAGTGAAAATGTTGACTGATAAACTTTTTTTCCTTTAAAAGGACTTGGGACTAGTAGCATTCTAGATAATTGTACTGATTTATGTGCTGCTACTACTAGCAAATGCTTACATAGAACATTCTGCTTTAGCTATAGTTTGATAAGTGTAAATTTCTGCTATCGTTGCTGAAATTTCTACATTGAAATTAATGGAAGTTATCTGAGTACAATTTACAACAAGATAAACAATGTCAAACAAAGGTCATTTCCTGTTGACTAAGAAAATGAGGTAAAATTAAAATATTCATGTGTAATGACAAATAAGATTTGTAAACAAAATATCCAACCCATTGGGAAGGGCAATTAGTAAAAGAAACAATAGGCTTTAAATGCTGGAAAAAATATCAAACTTTATTAATACCCTGATCAAAATAAAATAATGTTGAGGATTGTTTATCTCAACTTAACCCCAACTTCCATTCTGAATTGGAAAAATTGCTCATGGAAACTTTGAAGTTGAAGACCACTACTTTCTAACTTTTTGACTTCAATATACATATCATTTGTCTATCAACAGTAATTCCAAATTTTCAGGTGATATTTGCATCCTTGCATATGGTATGCAAATGGAGGTAGTTTCTAAGATTACTGCTAAATAGGTAGAGATTTGTCTTCACTCCCTTTCTTTCTGTTCTTTTTTCTCCCTCCCTTGTCCCTCCCACCTTGAATACCTACAGACATCTGTGTACTACTGCTGCCAGTCTACTTGTCACTGCTTCAGAGGTTGCTAGTCATCTCTAAAATCCATGTTTGCCTCTGTTTCTCACTGACGTGAGACATTATCTTTTCCAGCCTTTTTCTCTGTTAAGTGGAGCAAGGAGACAGAGTTCAACAATCTGCAACATTTACAAATTGAGTGTCTAAAGTTTATTTCCAGATCTGCTTTCTCTTGTTTCCCTTCTCTGTTAGCCAGATGCAAAGCATTCAATGGAAGTTATGGAGGCTCTAGGTGATAGAAGAGTCACTGATAAAAGAAACCTGGGTACCCAAGTGACTATATGGGGCACAGAAACCCGCTTCCCACTGCCTCCACCCTAGCCAACCTCCACATTCAACAAGGATGGGAGTAAATAGTAATTCTTAATTTTGGTAAGTTATGAGGCTTGAGAATTGTTTATGAGCAGTTAGCATATCTTCACAAATATAGTGTTCTCTTTCCAGATGATTTGTCCATTCTCCACTTACCCTTTAGGATAGGAGTTGGGAAACTACGAAATTGGCTAAACACAGCCATGGCCTGTTTTTGTACAGTCTGCAATCTAAAAGAGTTTTTTTTTAAGTTTAAAGTGTTTATTTAAAGAACAAGATGAGAAGGAAGATGGGGAAGAGGAAGAGGCAACAACATGACAGAGATAGCATGTGGCATAAAAACAAAAAATATTTACTGTCTGGCCTTTTACAGAAAATGGTTGCCAACCCCAGCTCTAGAATATTAGGATCATCCAAGATCCTTGGTAAAAGCCTCAATGTGCCAGGCTGCTCATCATGCGGTCATCAGTGTCTATCTAAGCCAAGACTGCGACTCTGCACCCTGCCACAGTTTTTGGCATCCAGGTTCCAGATTAGGGCAGGGCTGTCTGCAGAGATACAAGGGGTGGGCATGGGGTGGGCATTCTAACTTATCCCTGAGCCTCAGTTTTTCACGTGGGTCCCCATGGGCACCTCTCTTTGGGCCTGGGGTCACACAACCACCATTTGAGGGGAGCTATAAGATTTTGGTTTTAACACTCCAAAGGCTGGAAAACAGACTCAAATTCCTGGGGAAGGAAATATCTTCACTATCCCTCTCATGGTTTTCACATTGTAATCTATTAGGTTGGTGCAAAGTAATTGCAATTTTTACCATTGCTTTTAATGCAATTACTTTTGCACCAACCTAATAGTTCCAAGATTTCACAAAACTATCAGTGTAAACATTGTTCCCACAAAAACTCTCATGGACACTAACACAAGAATGGAGGCTGATACATGTTATGTATGTGGAGAGGGCATATCTAAGAGTGTGCATGTAGTACATGTATGGTATTTTCTACACTGGCAAGCAACTGGCTAAAATATCCTATTATATTTGTGTTTGTGTAGGACTGACCATCTAATTAAAATATTTGAAGCTATCTATGCCAGGCATTCCATTTTGGGAGTGGAAGTTTCTTGACTCTAAAATTATAAAAATTTAGTTATTACTTAGCTAACTATATTTAAGAGCATTCTAAAAATAAAAACCGAGGTTCTGGGGACAGAAGAAAAAAAAACATGGTTTCTCTTGGCTGAGAGGAATCATGTACACCTTACTAGGGCGTGGGAGTCACAGTCTTGGTGCCTAGAGTATTAAGGCTGAATTTTATAATGGCAGTGTCTACACCAAACTATCCTACCAAACACAACTAAATCTGGCAACTGAACTATCATAAAATATAAAAAAGACAATTTATAGTTAGTGAAAAACTTTAAAATCTCTTGGAATTCAAACCAGTGTTAGACTGAATTATAGTTTCATCAGAATAAATTCAAAAGCAAAACAAAAAAGGACAAAGAAATGGCTGACTGCCCAAACATAATTCCGGACTTCTTGACATCTGCTGACTATGGATTTATTTGTTCTTGTAAATGTTTTCTTGAAAAATAAAGCATATCCCAGATATGTAGTCCTATCTAAGCAATCACAGAACTTTTAATGAAGTTAGGAAAGTTTTTAAATGTTTTCATGAAGTTAGGAAAAGTTAAAAGTTTTAATGAAGTTAGGAAAGTTTTTAAAGGAAATACAGTTTTAAACCTTGGGTTTCGGACAACATGTAAAGCAGGCCCGGTGTTATTATGCTTTACAAATATTTTAGGATTACATACTTAAACTAGAATAAATCACCTATTTCTCCAAAATAAAAGGACCACCAAATTTTATGGTCAACTCTCTCTTCCATGTCTGAGAGAAATATTGCTTGCAGAGCCAAGGAGGTTTTGTGCATGAAAGAGCACATGAATGAAACAAATCCTCTTGCCAATCTCCCTTCACTGACTTCCAGGGAATTAACATTGACAGGCTTCCTGATGTCAGTCCCTCTCCTCCAACAGGCTTCTTATCCATTTTAATTCCCTGATGGAGTGACTGGATAAACAAATCCACACCATGTTGGCATTAAACACTAATATTTTTATAAGCCTTCAACAAATTTCATACCTTTGGCTTTTTGGCAAGGTTTGCCCTCTCAGGGAAGAGAAAGTCAAAACCTTTTGTAAAACCCCACAATTATTCTTACTCTTTCAAGGTTATTTTTAAACAGACTGCTTGAAGAGAGCAAAACTGGCTTTAGCTTTAAACTCATTGATTAAAACTGGGAGCAACATGGATACATGATCTTTCTGTATGGATAATGGAGATAATGGTAATGTTTTTCAGCAGGTAATAGTTTTAGGATTTAAAGGAGGTGTGTTTTTGTTGTTGGTGATGTTTTTTTTTTTTTTTAATTTGTCTTTTTCCCAAAGGAAAAGCATTTTTGTTTTGCAGAAAACATATTTTAACATATTTAAACATATTTTAAAGTACTCCAAGAATGACTGGCTAATTTAAATTTCATTTAAGAAAAGAACTAAGAATGAACTTCTAAAAAAAGACTAGCATAAAGGTTACACCTTGGACAGGCCTGATGTTTCCTGTACATGATCAATATCTAATGCCAGCCATATGGTTTCTATAGAAGAGCAGTTTGCCTGAATGAGCAGGTCAGTCTTCTAGGAATGACACACCATTACCAGTTTACAGATCATTCCCGTCTTTGTCCGTGAGTCACAAAAGGAAGTAAGATAATTTTCTTCTGGTATTTTATTCCTTTCTTTCTCAGTCACCTTTTCCTTGCCTGGAGCAACAAGGACCCTTGAATGCAGGCATCTACAAAGACTGCAATATTTCAGCCCATTTGAAGCCTTCATATTGAAATTCTGCAAATTTGTATTTCATATTCTTAATGCTAATGCTGATTAGATCTTGGAGCAAAATGCCCTAAAACAGACGCTGGTTTCTTTTTCTCCAGAATAGTTTAAATTGCCTATACATTTAAAAAACTATATTACAAAAGCTCATTTTCTACTATTTTATATTGTATTTTACTTTATTACCTCATAACCTATTTGAACAATTAATTGATGGTTTCTCATAAAACTGAGTACAGATCTTTGCTTTTACAATGTCCATTTTCTTACATTCTCAATATTACAATGCCTGGCAATGTAGTCATAAAAGTCAACTCTTTATAGAAAAACTATTTAAGAATGATAATCTTGACAAAATGTTATTTTAATACAATTTTACACTTTTATATATAATTTATTTTTTGCATTTTCTGTAAAAAAGCAGTGCATCATTTTGGGGGGAATGTCTGTGAAAATGCAAAGCTTTATTTTACTCATGCGCTTGAAGAAGGCAAGAATTACCTAAGACAGCTTTTTATCCACATTTTTAAATTAAAATAAACATTCTAAACCATAGATAATAATATTATAAAATATTTTATTAAATCTGAGATGGTCTAGAATTTTGAATAAAATTATTTGAATCAAGCTAAGTACAGGCTACTGGAAGATTTTCAACAAAGAGAATTTGACAATTTAGATAAGAAGCGACAACAAAGGCCATTACTCTTCCTGCTGTGAGAGGTAGTGTCACAACCTTGTGGTATTTCTGAGATGATGGAAGGCCAGGCTGATGAGAAAGCTGATGTGGCTGTTAAGAGTTCAAGAACTTTTTGTCCAAACAAAAGCAACATGCATTATGTAGACAAGAAGGAGAGACAATTTACTTTCAAGGTAGCTACTAAAGGAAGCTTTTTTTTTCAGACTTGAGATATTTTGAGATAAACAAGATCTTATATTTATAAAGCAATATACAAAAATGTAATAGCCTATCAAAAAAAAAAAAAAAGCTTCTGTCATCTTACAAGAAAGTACCTGATATATTGTAGAAAATGTATCCTTACTTCACCCTCTCACTTTGAAACAACAATCACAAAAATTGGGTCAATGGAGAACTTTCTGGGAGGTCATACTAATTCACAGGGGCAGAGATAAAACAAAACAAATTTGATTAAGAAAAGTCAAATGCAAGTGGAAACAAAGCAATGGAATTGTGTGAAAAATAGTAGGCTCATGTTTCCTATCAGTATATGAATTTAGACATTTTTCACACTTTCTACTGAAAGGTCGGGGGAAAGGGAAAAATAATATAAATAAATCAGTGTTCCTGGATATACAACATATAGACATTTTGATCATGAGATCTAGTGTCTGAAAAAGGAAAGGAAGAAAAGGAGGTAAAGGGAAGGGATAGTTTGAGAACAAGGGAAGGAGGGAAGGAGTAAAAAGAAAAGGAAAGCAAAGAACACAAACCGTTTTCAGAGCACTCACTGAGCTCTGGGTACTGTGATAGGTGCTTTCATGTATGTCACAGGATCTAATTTTTAACATAACTTTATAGATAAAGATTATTACCCCATTTATGTAGAAGAGAAAGCTGAGATGCATAAAAATTAAATAAAGCAAACTGAAACCAGGATTAAAAATCATTTTGACTGTTACACTCATTCATTCTCCATTTTATCACTATCATTGGAAATCATAAATATTAATCTTCTCACATTTAAATGACTAATCTTTGCCCAGTGAAGTGGATTTAATTCCTAGAGGTGGTAATCTTTCTATCAAAATTTGAATCTCCAAAGAAACCTCAGTGTTTTTGGCCCCAGTCCATGTATAATGTGTTTTAACTATGGAATCTGCAACATGGACATCAGTGGAGACAATCCACAGCCTTCAAAGTCCATCAAACTATTAGAATGTACTGATTGGGAAATCATTCTGTGATGGCTGCTGTTTTCTTAGTCAGGGGTAGTGATCTTCCTTTTAGAAAAGAATAGTTTAGCTTCTGTAACCACTCAAGGGATTCTCCCTGCCTGCTGAATAAAGACAGGCATTGCAGTAAAGAAAGAGTTTAACAGACAAGAGGTCAGCCAAACCACATGGGAGATGGAATTAGTACTCAAATCATCACATCCAAAGCTCTAGGATTAGGGGTTTTTCAAAGGCAGTTTGGGGAAATTTATAGGGGTAGCCAGGTAACAGGTGCTTGATGCTGATTGGTTGGGGCAAAGATGAAATCACAGGGAGTCAAAGCTGTCCTCCTGTGGGCGGAATAGCTTCTGGGTGGGGCCACAGTAGTAGGGCTGGCAGGTTCAGGTAGAGCCATGAGTTTCAGACATGCAAAAATTCCTGAAAAGATATCTCAAAAGGCCCATCTTTGGTTCTATGATAGTGATGTTATTTGCAGGAGTAATTAGGGAAGTTGCATTATCTTATAACCTCCAGAATAAAGGCTGACAATCATTTATGTCTCTGCCTTAGCAAGACTCATGCTCCTCTCCTACCCCAGTCTGATGGCCTCCCATTAGCTTTACAAAAGTGGTTGAGTTTCAGGGCAAAGCCCATTATCATTTAAACTATAGCCTGAATGTCTTCCAAAGTTAGCTTTGCCCAATAGCCCAGGAATAATTAAAGGAAAGGCAAGATAGGGGTGGACTAGCTCAGATCTCTTTCAGTGTCATAATTTTCTCACTGATATACTTTTTTCAAAAGTGGTTTTACCTCAGAGAGGAAAGGATGTCATTGTTGAGAAATACTTTTTTTTTAATAGTTAACCACCAATTCCTGGACCAGATATAACTGACTTTGCACCCTAGGATTTTAACCATCTGCTATACTGCTTTCTCTGATTTTGTTTTCTTTGCCCAGTTGCAGCCCTTCAAAGCTCCACTCTTAGTTACCAAGCAGACTTTCTTCCTGCTGCTCCATCTCTTTTTATTGAGGTCACTTCAATCTCCTTCTGTCTCTTGTATCCTCCCGTTATTGGTTCCACCTTGGCAACTTATTTGGATCTGCCTCTTGCTAAACGTGTATGCTATGTCCTGCTGTGTTTTCTGGTTTGGGTCACACTGCCCTACAAGAAAACTTTGGAATCAATGTCCAGGATCTTAGGCGATTCCCTTCATTTGGGGTAAATCCCTGGGGGCTTCATGAAAGTTGAGATGCTGTGGGCAATATTGACACAGGAGTTTTCTTAGTTACTTTGTAAGCCAGGGACCTCCAGCCAGTGATGCCCCTGCCTGGGCCTCACTCGGCCATGCTCCCTGCCACTGGAGGCAGCTGCCCACTCAACCCACCCAGGCTGTGCCTGGCTTGTGCACCAGCTGAGCCTGCAGCTGGGCCAAGCATGCTCCAGTCCACCTGTGCTATAGCTCATACCCACGTTCAGCAGTTCCTGAGTTCTTGTCCCATGTCCAAGAATAATGAGGATATTCTGACAGTTGAAGGGTGAGGAGGGCAGAGAAGAATTTTGTTGAGGATGAAACAGCTTTTAGCCAAGAAGGGTCGTGAGGGTGGTCAGCCACCTGGAGTTGGGTGTTTCTCTCCCAGTGTGGCTGAGTCCAGAACTTTGATGGGCTCATAATAGGGGAGTGCATCCTGATTGGTTTGTGAGTATGCAAAAAAGGTTAAAAACAAAGGCAGCACTCAAAGGTGGGCATGGCAGTGTGAAAAAACAATTAGGGAAGGGTAGGTATATGTAAAATAGGTGAAGGCTGGGGATCAATCAGAGGAAAGCATGCCAAAAGGGAAGACAGGTTCTCAATCTTTTCCCTGGATTTGAATTATAGCTTGGCTTTCAGGCTTTAAACTGTCTTTGGTTTGGAGTTGGGGTTTCATAGGGGTCCCACTCCTATCTGCCTAGGCATTTGTCTGCTTCCTTCCACTATCAATATGAACCTAATGACAGTGCTGCAGTATATTGATTCAACCATTCTCTTGCAATTTCTTGTCCCCTTTACCTTCCAATATTGTGACTCTCATTCTCAAATGGGCCCTCAATGTTCCCCAGTAGATTCACCCACCATATTTTCCTAGTACATTCTCTCTTACACCTTCACAGATGGCCATCTTATGCCATCTCTCTCCTTCAACCACCAGTACCTCCTCCTCGCTTTCCAATCAGAATAGCTGGCCTTTCTTCCTCTATAGAAAATCAAAGAAACCAAAGGATACAATTCCATATGCTCCCAAAACCACTTCTACTGACTTATTAATATATTTGCCTTTCCCCCATCACCCGTAGATAGAATAACCACCAACTCATCTATGGTCAATCCCTTCATTTGGGCACTAGCTCCCAACCCTTCATGCCAATTCAAATACATTAGTTTAGCAACTGTCTATTCTCTGTGGCATCATCAATTTCCCCTCTTTACTATATCATTCTCAATATCATACCAATATGCTATAAAACCTCTTATCTACACCTTTCTTGTTGCTGCCCCATTTCCCAGTCCTCTGTTCCAGTAAATTTTTTGATAATGTTATCTATGTTTGCTATCTCTATTCCTCTCTTCTAATATTTTTCAGTACCCATGACAATCAGGCTTTTAATTCACTGAAACAGCTCTTGTCAAGGTCTCCAATGACCTGTAATTGCCAAGTGCAATGGTCAATTCTCTGTTCTCATCTAATATTTAATAGAGTGATCATTTCCTTATTTCCACTTTCTTCACTTGACTTCTGGCATATTTCTCTCTCTATCTCACTCTCCCTCTCTCAGTGCCCTTCTTCCTTAGCTATTTCTTCCTAATCTTCTTTGCTGGTTTCTATTCATCTCTCCTAACTCTAAATTGGAGGGCCCTATGACACAGTACTCAGATGTCTTCCTTCACTCCCTAGGTGAGCGCAACTAGTCTCATGGCTTTCAACATGCCCTCACTTCCAAACTTATACTTCTAGCCCAGGGGTCTCGGCTGAACTCCAGACTCATATACTCAACCGTATAGTTGACATTTCCACTTACAAGTATAATATGTAACTCAAGCTTACATGTCCAGACCAAATACTGATTTTCTACATTCCTGCCCCAACCTGCTTCTCCTATAGGCCACCCCATGTCAGTAAGTGGTAATTCCATTTTTTCATTGCTCTGGTTAAAACATTCCCTTTCCCTTTCTCTTCTACCATATTCAACCTATTACTAATCCTACTTGATCTATGTTCAAAATATATCTAAAATCTGACTATGTCTAGCTATCTCTACTACTATCACCACTGTCCAAGCCACTGTAATCTTGTTTGTGTATTATATCTACAAGCTGTT
This sequence comes from Homo sapiens, assembly GCF_000001405.40. Lineage (NCBI taxonomy): Eukaryota > Metazoa > Chordata > Mammalia > Primates > Hominidae > Homo > Homo sapiens. The sequence goes on from NC_000012.12 coordinate 40,653,253, forward strand.
AACTGGTCCTTCTACTTCTACACTTGTTTCAATCTATTCAGTCTATTCACTATACAGTAGCTAGAATGCTCTTTTGAAAATGGAAGGTTGGGTGCTGTTACATTTCTAACCAATACTATCCAATGACTTCCTAGCTCATGCCAAGTAATAGACAAAAATCCTGTGTCTACAAAATGCTTTCCTCTCTTCCCAACCTTTTCAACTTTGTCTCCTACCAATTCCCCACTCATGGCTTATTCTGCTTCAACTACATCAGCCTTGCTGCTGGCTTCAGGGGTTTTGTATGCAGTTTCTTCTGCCTAAATGTTTACCCTGAGTTCTACGGCTCCCTTCCTCACTTCCTCCAGGTCATTGTCCATGTGTGCCTCCTCACTTCCTCCAGGTCATTGCCCATGTGTGCCTTCACTGGCAAAGCCTCCCTGACCTAGTATTAAGAAGCCTTAATACCTCATGACTGTCCCCAGCCCTCCCTACTCTATCATGTGCTTATTTCTTCATTTGTTTTGCTTATTATTTTTTATTGGCAATCTCCTTTCACTAGACTATAAACTCTATGAGGGCAGCAAGCTTTCCCTGTTCTTTGAAATGTCCCTCATGCCTACAGTAATATCTGTCTCAGAGTGAACTTCAATAAATATTGTTGAATAAATACATTGGGATAATAATAAGATTAACTAATCTGACTTGTTTGCTGAGGAGGTATTTTCTTAGAATGATCACCAAGCTACAAATATTAAAGGTCTTAGGCAAAAGAAAAAGAAAATGAAAGCAAGCTAAGGTTTCCTGGTAATTTGCTTGGTTTGTGAAGAAGTCAACCTTGATTTATATATTACCTGATGGTATGGATTTTTTTTTTTTTTTTGAGATGGAGTTTCACTCTTGTTGCCCAGGCTGGAGTGCAATGGCATGATCTTCGCTCACTGCAACCTCTGCCTCCTGAGTTCAAGCAATTCTCCTGCCTCAGCCTCCCTAGTAGCTGGGATTACAGGCGCCTGCCACCACGCCAAGCTAATTTTTTGTATTTTTAGTAGAGACAGGGTTTCACTATGTTGGCCAGGCTGGTCTCAAACTCCTGACCTCAGGCGATCCACCTGCCTCGGCCTCCCAAAGTGCTGGGATTACAGGCATGAGCCACTTCACCTAGACTGGATTTTGGCTTTCATCCTCAAAGTCTAACATTATAACTAGGCCTGTGCTCACAGTAAAGGAGCAGAAAATGCCATATGAAGCTTGCCTTTGAAGTGTCCTTACAAACGTTCTGACACAATCTTCTCCCATCACAGACAGACCAATGCTTGCTCAAGGGCACTCAGCAAATCAAGGGCAGAGCTTTTTATTTTTGAATCTATTTTAACATACTTGTATAACAGAGATGCTTCAATTTTCTTTCTTTTTTTTGGTAATAAAAACTATCCAAAATTTAACAACAAGAGAGTTCGGTGCTCTTTTAAAGTCATGTAAGAGCCCTGACTTACCAGCCTACCAGATCTGTCCAACAGAAATACAACGTGAACCTTATATGTAATCTGAATTTTCTAGTAGCCACAGTAAAACATTTTAAAAGAAATGGGTGAAATTAATTTGAATAATATATTTTATTTAACCCAATGTATGAAAAATATTATTTTGACCTGTAGTCAATATGGAAACTTATTAGTGGGGAAGTTTACATTCTTTTTTTTTTCATGCTGTTTTTGAAATTCAGTGTGTACTTTACACTTGTAGCAGGTCTCAATGTGGACTTGCCACACTTCAAGTGCTCTATAGCCACATGTGACTAGTGGCTTACATATTAACCAATACAGCTTTAGGGAAACCACATATTTGACATTTTTTTAAAAAAAATTTTAATTTTTAATGACATTTATTTATTTTAATTTTATTATTATTTTATTTTGAGATGGAGTCTCACTCTGTCACCCAGGCTGGAGTGCAGTGGTGCCATCTCGGCTCACTGCAAACTCCGCCTTCCAGGTTCACGCCATTCTCCTGCCTCAGTCTCCCAAGTAGCTGAGACTACAGGCGCCCACCACCATGCCCAGCTAATTTTTTGTATTTTTAGTAGAGATGGAGTTTCACCGTGTTAGCCAGGATGGTCTCGATCTCCTGACCTCGTGATCTGCCCACTTCAGCCTCCCAAAGTGCTGGAATTACAGGCGTGAGCCACTGTGACCAGCTGTCATTTATTTTTAATAGTCTCCAGATTCCATAAATTTTGATCATAATGTTAATTTAGAGATGACTGGTTTAATGCAATCAACCTTTTGTCCAGTAGTGAAACAAATAACTTTTATTTAGTAGAAAATATAACATCAACAATCATGATTTTATTGTCATGTGGGAGTTTTGTACCTCAGTTTTTCATCCTTCGTCAGCATTCTTTTCTGTGCTGACCATATGTCCACCCACTCACCACATGTCCACAGAACAGCCTTTCCTATTTCCTTCTGAATCAACTTTGCAGACCTGGTTACTTCCAATATTAGTGAGTTAAATGCCTCTTTGGCATGTATTCATCAAAGATTTGCAAGAGAATTATGTTTTTAACTTTTGGAAATGTATATTTTGACATGTGGATATTTTAATTGGCATAGTTTAAGGCATCAAATTTGTACATTGAAATGTTTCATCTTTTCAGTCAGCATCATCAAATTTGTCTCTTTTAGCTGGCACACAGAAATCTAATCACAGAATAAGTACATGACTGCCAGTACAGAGGGATTTGTGGAACCTTAAGACAATCCTTTTTGCTGAGAAATTATCACCCTTTAGGGCTGAATTAAATTCCAGCCAGGTGTCAACAAACTAGAAAACACAGTTATCTGGAAAGGGAGACATCAGTAAAGCCTCTTGCCACCCCCTGTCCCACACCTGAGAATTTTCCTGAGGAAACAGGACAAAGTAGCCAAAAGTATTGAGGAAGGAAGCATAAATCTTACTTTGTGTGTGTTGCAGCAGGGACTGGGGAGTAAGTATGAAGATGATGGAACATGAGGACAATTGTGTCACAGGTGCTCTGAGAGTTTCTTGAAGAAAAAATACTTCCTAATTTCACTTGGATTTGGCCTTACCAACATTTTAAACCACATGAAGGCATGATGACATTGGCACAGCAAACATCTGTTTAACTTACTGGAATTTACCTATGTCCCACTTGAAGAAAACAGAGAGTAAAGGAGAAACATAGAGCAAGAGAGAAAGAGTGAGAGAGATCTCTTTAGTTGTACGTTTGTCTTTTTCTTTGTCAAATCATGGCCTCTCCTGTTGCAGGCCTCAGGGAAAGAGAAACGAGAGCACAAGGTCCAAGTGACACATATAAGATTAATTCAGTGTTTGAGTTTCCAAACACTAACTTATTTAAGAGTTAAAGGATGTTCAAAAGCAATTTTGACTGTATGTGATTTTTGACTTACCTAACCCCTGAAGAGAATAAATATCCTACCCTGTTATCATAGAAACCTGTCAAGCAATTTAAGTAAACCATGATTCAGAGCATCCTTGTATCTCCTTGTTACCCAGTGCCATTTCCCAGCACTTAAAAACCTGTTCCTTCAACATACTTCTTCTGAGCTCCACCCATTTGCATCTCCTCTCCTTCCTTCTTGGAAGGCTTCTGCTCCTAGTTCACAGTCTCACTTGAATCTCTCATTTAATCTGGCTTTTATAAAAAGTTTCTACAACGAAGTAGAAAAAAACCTCCACCTTTTTCTTAACTTGGGCTTGTCCACAGGTCATTTTCTGCACATATCACAAATTTCTCAGCTCTTTAAGCAAGATTCTTTGTCATACTCTGGTCTTGTTACCTCCACTGGAGACCTTTTTGGAAGAGGAGGTCCTTTTATTTCTTGTCCCCTTGCTCTGGACAGCTTTATCTGCTTGCTTTTCATTGTCTGTCTTCCCTACCATTCCGTCATAAGTGCAGGGACTATATGTTATTCACCATCCCGTCTGGGCATTGTAGGCATACAATTTTGTTGTTGTTTTGAGTAAACAATTGAAAGCAACACGTTGTTAATAAAGAAGTAGGTGTCTAAATCAAAGCTATTCAAAACTTGGAGAAAAGAAGGAATTGTTGAATGACTGCTGTTTCAAACAGTTTGCTTATACTATTTGATACAGCAATACTGAGAGATATGTATTATCACCATTTTATAGACTAAGAGTTTGGGAGTCAGAGAGGTAATGGGAACTCACTCATTGGTTCTCGGCCTACTAGTTGATTCCTGCAGGCTAAATTTCCCAGGCTTGCTGTGTAACTGACTTCTAGCTGAGTTTGGACCAAGTGCAACATCAAGCCTTCGTCCTGTGGGCAGGACAAAGGACACTGGGGAGTATCTCTCTGTCCTCTTGTTTCTCAGAGAACACTGGTGTCCTCTCTGGTGCTCCATTTTCTATTCCTCCATCTCCTTCTGATTCTAGCTTTTTCCAATTGACTCCAGCCCCATACTCCAATAGATGTCTTTTCCTTCACAATCACTTCAGCCTAAGGATGGTAGTCATTTCTTGCTACTGCTAATCTTGGTTGATTAAACACTTCCTGTTTAGCTTTTCATCTCTTTTTCATTGTGTCAACCTTTTCTTGTATAACTTTTTTGCTAGTTTACATATGTAGAGTGGCTTCTGTTTTCTGACTGGACTTGAAATACACAGGGAGTTTATCCATGCAAACTCTGCCAACCTGTACCTTTCTCTGGTTAAAATACTAAGTGCTAAGTACTGTTACTGGCATATCTGGCATATTTCTTTTATCTTTCTTTCTTTTTTTTTTTGGAGACATAGTCTTGCTCTGTCACCAAGTCCATGATCTCAGCTCAGTGCAACCTCCACCTCCTCCTGCCTCAACCTCCTGTGTAGCTGGGACTATAGGTGTGTGCAACCATGCCTGGCTAGGTTTTGTATTTTTTGTAGAGATGCGGGTTTTACCATGTTTTACCATGCTTCCCAGGATGCTCTCAAACTCCCTGGCTCAAACAATCCACCTGCCTCAGCCTCCCAATGTGCTAAGATTATAGGCATGAGCCACCATGCCTGGCCTCAGTTACTGGCTTATTTCTAAGAATCCAACTTTGCAGTAGATGAGAGCAACACATATCTTTCCTAGTCTGAGTAGAAATGCAAAGATGAATAGTGATAATAATTTTATTTCATAATTATCCATGCAACTTCCAAATCCTTTCACATGACATTTAATTTTCACTATATTTTAGGAGGAGCCAAATATTTTCTCAGCCTTTCAGACAGAGTAAAGCTGAGGCAAAATAAAGTCAAATGATTTGTCTAGGTTTTTGGGTAAGCCAGAGCTTTTTCTACTAGGATGTTACGATTAAGAGTCAACATTTGCAAACTCCTTTCAACAGAGATGGAAGGGAGGGAAACAGACAGAGGAATGCCATCTAACTTTCAGTGGCACTTAAAGTCACACTCCAAATGTCTTTAGCAATGCCACTTGGGAACATCACAGGGCATTTGCAGCAATCTCAAAGACGCTTGGCATTCAAATCAGATATTGCCACAAAAGATACAGAAGAATGCTAAGAAAAAATATACATTATATGCGTCTGTAGATGTATGCACATCCATATCCATATGTACACCTGCATTAGTATTGTCTGTGTAACATAAGGAGACAGAGACTAGAAGTGTAGTCTCTATTTCCTCCCAACTAATAAAATTACTCTTACTTTCAACACGAAGGCAGATTAAAACATGTATAATATACAAACAGCCACTTCTATTACATAAGATGATCATGTAAGAGAAAAAATATTAACTATATATAAATGTCAAAAAAACTAGTAATCAATGATGTTAGTACTAGTTTTAAAGAATGTGTGGAATAAACCAAAAGAAAATGCCATTAAAAAAAAAAACAACAACAACAACAGTGTAAGCAGTACTTGGTGGCTCATGCCTGTAATCCTAGCACTTTGGGAGGCCAAGACAGAATGATCGCTTAAGCTCAGAAGTTGGAGACCAGCCTTGGCACCATAGAAAGACCTCATCTCTACCAAAAATCAGATAAATTAATTGGGTGTGGTGGTGTACACCTGTAGTCCCAGCTACATGGGAGGCTGACATGGGAGGATCACCTTATTTTGCATTCTTCCATAGTTCTTGGAAAATGACAGGTATGATTATTCTTTTGTTATACATACCACCTATCAGCACAGCAGTCAACAGGAATTCAGTGAGTTTTATCTTGTTACTCTGTTTTATGGGGAATATGATAATCTTTTCAAACATAGTTGGTGATGTTCATGGTCTAATAACATCTACTGTGGGCAGGGCTGGGCTCTGAAGACAGGCCAGCCCATTAATTGGAGCAACTCCCAAGTGTAGGTCCAACAAGAAGAACATAGCATGGGACACAAGTAAACAGTTAGGGATTCTGGGCAAGCAAGTCTCACAGGATGGGTGTTTTAAAATAAAGCAACAGGAGATCCTGGCCCATGGATAGGACATAGACCATGCAATTCAAGAACAGATTTATTATTCAGGTGTTTTTCCATTGCAAATGACAGAAATTCAACTCAAAACAGCCTTTTCACAAAAGAGAATATATTGTTTCACGTACCAAGAAGTCTGAAAGCACTGAAATTTCAGTCACAGCTAGACCCAGTGGCTCACTTAAAGATATTTTAAATAGTACTCTGTCTCACTCTTCATCTCTTGAACAGGCTCATGCTGCATGGTAGGCCAAATGGCTCACCAGAGCCCGATTTCATATCTTAGTATCCTATTAACCTCAACAGAATAGGTCTTTTCTGATTGCCCCAGAAGAACGGTTCTAAGGAAGATACTTCTTGGCCTGTCTCGAGTCAGGTGCATATTCCTGGACCTGTCACAATGGCCAGGAGGCTCCCCAAAGATGGGGGAATTTTGGCCAGGCCTGGATCCTATTCCCTCCTCTGTTTAATGGGGAGTGACAAGATGTATATGAACCACATGAAATGGATTTCCCAAAGGAAAGAGGAATTACATTACAGAATAAGAAGGAGGGAAAGCCAGGTAGGCCAGAATAATAAATGTCCACTACATAAACAATAATATTCAGAAAGACAGGGGTTTGACACACAGGAAGCCTTTACATGTGTGAAAACAAACGGATTCTTTGTTTGTGAGGGATGCCCAGAGGTGGTAAAGATACCAGTGGGGAATGGACACGATGCTGTTATGATATGCATTTTTTTCCCAGAATATGTGTCAGTAAAAAGGAGAAATTGAGTAACACCAAACTAAAAGATAAAAGATGAATTCTCTACCACCATTTTTTTTTGTCTTCTACGTGAGCAGCAGGTAAAAAATTGCTCCCCTGAAATGGATCATTAATTTAAAACTAGCTAAATGTAAGTTGTCAGAGAAATGTCAAGAGTTATGGATCTAGTAAAGTTAGTGAAAATATAAAGTGTGTAATTGCTTACAAATGAAAATAAAACCCAAATGTTTTCTATCATTGAAAATAGTAGCCATTTACCTGTGGCCCTATTTTAAGTTATAATTATAAAAATTCATTATTGTTTACATTATCTTTATTTCCATTTTTTACTTTTTGCAATTGACTATTTCTACTTCTATTTTTAAATGTTGCCTTTTGCAGTTAATTAAGGGATGGTTCTTTTTCAGTGTAGAAGGCAAAGACAGTTTTAGTAGAGAAGAAAGAGATAGGGTTTGGGGTTATTGGCTGATTATACTTGATTCCTTTTGAACTATTCCTTCTATCTAACAAGAAGTGAAAAAATGTATGCTGAATACAGCATTAATTATCCATGGCTGGATCCTGGAAGCCACATTGAAGTTCTCTGAATAATGAGAAAGTGCTGAAAATAAATATTAAAGATAAAGTATTACTGACCATGAATTATTATACTTTGAAAACATTTTGTTTATATTTGACTCTTTTAAGAATATAATGTCTTCAAATTCTTCAGCCTTCTGTGCCATTTCTCTCTCTTTTTGAACCTTAAATATGAATGTTCTTAGTAGCACTGTTCACAATAGCCAAAACTTGGAAAGAACCTCAATGCCCATCAACTGATGAATGGAGAAACAAAATTAGGTACATTCATACAAGATTCTTAAAAATTTCCATTTTTATTTTAGATTCATGGGGTAAATGTACAGATTTATTACAAGGGTATATTGTGTGGTGCTGACACTTCTGTCTTTAAAATCCTAGTAACAGTAGTGATATGATTTGGCTGTGTCCCCACCAAAATCTCATCTTGAATTGTAGTTTCTGTACTTCCCATATGTCATGGGAAGGACCTGGTGGGATGTAATTGAATCATGGGGCAGTTACCCCCATGCTGCTCTTCTCGTGATATTAAGTGAGTTCTCACAGGATCTAATGGTTTTATAAGGGGCTTTTTGCTTTTTGCACAGCACTTCTCCTTCCTGCCATGATATGAAGAAGGATGTGTTTGCTTCCTCTTCCACCATGATTATAAGTTTCATGAGGCCTCCCCACCCATGCAGAACTGTGAGCCAATTAAACCTTTTTCCCTTATAAATTACCTGGTCTTCGGCAGTTCTTTTTAGCAGCAGGGGAATGGGCTAACACAGCAAATTGGCACTGGGCAGTGGGGCATTGCTGTAAAGATACCGAAAAATGTGGAAGCAACTTGGAACTGGGTAACAGACAGAGGTTGGAATAGTTTGGAGGGCTCAGTGGAAGAAAGAAGATGTGGGAAAGTTTGGAACTTCCCAGACATTTGTTGAATGGCTTTGACCAAAATGCTGATAGTGATATGGACAATGAAGTTTAGGCTGAGGTGGTCTCAGATGGAGATAGGAACTTGTTTGGAACTGGAATAAAGGTTATTCTTTCTATTTTAGCAAAGAGACTGGCAGCATTTTGCCCCTGCCCTAGAGATCTGTGGAACTTTGAACTTGAGAGAGATCATTTAGTGTATCTGGCAAAAGAAATTTCTAAGCAGCAAGGCATTCAAGATGTGACTTGGGTACTGTTAAAAACATTCAGCTTTATGTATTCACAAAGATATGGTTTGGAATGGGAACTTATGTTTAAAAGGGAAGCAGAGCATAAGAGTTTGGAAAATTTGCAGCCTGATGATGTAATAGAAAATAAAACCCATTTTCTGAGGAGAATTCAAGCTGGCTGAAGAAATCTGCATAAGAAACAAGGAGCCAGATGTTAATTGCCAAGACAACAGGAAAAATGTATCCAGGGCATGCCAGAGGTCTTCATGGCAGCCCCTCCCATCACAGGCCCAGAGGCCTTGGGGAAAAATGGTTTTGTGTGCTGGGTCCAGGGCCTTGCTGTTTTGTGCAGTCTTCGCACTTGGTGTCCCGGCCAGCTGTGGCTAAAAGGGGTCAAGGTATAGTTTGGGTTGTTGCTTCAGAGGGTGCAAGCCCTAAGCCTTGGCAGCTTCCACATGGTGTCGAGTTTGCGGGTGCACAGAAGTCAAGAATTGAGGTTTGGGAACCTCTGCCTAGATTTCTGAGGATGTATGGAAATGCCTGATGTCCAGGCAGAAGTCTGCTGCAGGGGCAGAGCCCTCATGGAGAACCTCTGGGGAAAATGTGGAAGGGAAATGTGGGGTTGCAGCCCCCGCACAGAGTCCCCACTGGGGCACTGCCTAGCTGAGCTGTGAGAAGAGGGCCACTGTTCTCCAGACCCCAGAATTGTAGATCCACCAACAGCTTACAGCACAAGCCTGGAAAAGCTGCAGACACTCAATGCCAGCCTATGAAGGCAGCCAGAAAGGGGGCTGTACCCTGCAAAGCCACAGGTGTGAGACTCCCCAAAGCTGTGGGAGCCCACCTCTTGCTTCAGCATGACCTGGAGGTGAGACATGGAGTCAAAAGAGATCATTTTGGAGCTTTAAGATTTGACTGCCCTGCTAGATTTTGGACTTGCTTGGGTCCTGTAGCCCCTTTGTTTGGACAATTTTTCCAATTTGGAACTGCTATATTTATCCAATGCCTGTACACCCATTGTATCTAGGAAGTACCTAACTTGCTTTAGAGTTTACAGGCTCATATGCACAGGGACTTGCCTTGTCTCAGATGAGACTTTGGACTTGGATTTTGGGTTAATGCTGGAATGAGTTAAAACTTTGGGAGACTGTTGTGAAGGCATGACTGTGTTTTGAAATGTGAGGACATGTGATTTGGAAGGGGCCAGGGAAAGAATGATATGGTTTGGCCATGTCCCCACCCAAATCTCATCTTGAATTGTAGTTTCCATAATCCCTACATGTAGTGGTAGGGACCCAGTGGGAGGTAATTGAATCATGGGGCTGGTTGTCACCATGCTGCTGTTCTTGTGATAGTAAGTGAGTTCTCACAAGAGCTGATGGTTTTATAAGGAAACTTTCCCTCTTTGCTTGGCACTTCTCCTTCCTGCTATCATGTGAACAAGGACGTGTTTGCTTTCCCTTCCACAATGATTGTAAGTTTCCCGAGGCCCTCCAAGCCATGTGGAACTGTGAGTCAATTAAACCTCTTTCCTTTATAAATTGCCCATTCTTGGGCAGTTCTTTATAGCCGCATGAGAATGGACTAATACAACTAGTTTGCATTTTTCTATCCTCCTTGATTTATAGGAAATACTGTCTTATACCACATTTCTCTTTCCAAATATTTCTCAGTTAAATATTTCTCTCTTCTTTTACAAATGCTTCCTGCATGTCACTTGTCATCTTTTACTTCAAGCTGCTTCTCTGGACTTCCAAACATGTCACTGCTTGCAAGGTCAATATTACTCTTCTAGGACATTGGAGCACTCCTACGTGTGGGAACATGTTCATCCAACAACTTTTTAAAGTTTACTGTTTAACAAAACTACACAAAAGCATAATAACAGAAAAAGTTACAATGTAGACTGCAGATGGGAGGCATGGAAATCTCACAGCCCCCCTTTTGCCAGAGAGCAGACATAATTGTTCCTACATTCACTTGCCACATCCCTCCTCCAGGGATCAACCAGCACTCTCCTAATTCCCATACATGTCACTCTGCTGCAGAGACTGATTTCCTGGCCATGACCATGTTACTTTACATTAGACCTTCCTTACTTAGAGTCCAGATGTGTAAACTTGAGACATTATGCACAGCTTTTAGAATTTCAATACACAAGTACAACTTATTTTATTATGCTTTGCTTTATTCTACTTTGCAGATATTGCAATTTTTTTTTTGTAAACTAAATGTTTGTGGTAACCCTGCATGAAGCAAGTCTATTGGCATCATTTTTCCCACAGCATGTGTTCACTTTGTATCTCTATGTCACATTTTGGTAATTCTCACAATATTTCAGACTTTTCCATTATTATTATATCTGCTACTGTGATCTGTGATCAGTGATCTTTGATGTTACTATTATAATTGTTCTGAGTTGCCATGAACTGCACAGATATAAGATTTAATTGATACTTAATTGATAAATGTTAGGTGTGTTCAGACTGCTCTACCAGCTAGCTCTTCTTCCATCTCTCTCCCTCTCCTGTAACCTCCCAATTCCCTGAGATACAACAATATTAAAATTAGGCCAATGAATAATTCTACAATGGCCTCTACATGTTCAAGTGACAGGAAGGGAAACACACCTTTTACTTTAAATCAAAAGCTAGAAGGATTAAGCTTAGTGAGGAAGGCAAGTAGAAAGCTAAGATGTGCTGAAAGCAAGGCCTCTTGTGCTAAACAGTTAGCCAAGTTGTGATTGCTAAGAAAAAGTTCTTGAAGGAAATTAAAAGTGCTACTTTAGTGAACATACAAATGATAAGAAAGCAAAACAGCCTTTATTGCTGATACGAAGAAAGTTAGGCTGCTCTGGATAGAGGATCAAACCAGTCACAACATTCCCTTAAGCCAAGGCTTAATCCAGTGCAAGGCCCTATCTCTCTTCCTTTCTATGAAGGTTGAGAGAGGTGGGGAAGCAGCAGAAGAAAAGTTGGAAGCTAGGAGAGGTTGTTTCATGGTGCTTAAAGAAAGAAGCCATCTCCATAATATAAAAGTGCAAGGTGAAGCAGCAAGTGGTGATGAAGAAGCTGCAGCAATTTATTCAGAAAATCTAGCTAAGATCATTAATGAAGGAGGTTACACTAAACAACAGATTTTCAATGTATACAAAACAGCCTTATACTGGAAGAAAATGCCATGTAGGACTTTCAAAGCTAAAATGGAGAATTCAATGCTTGGGTTCAAAGCAATGCAGCTGGTGACTTTACTCTGTTACCATTCTAAAAATTCTAGGACCCTTAAAAATTATGCTAACTCTACTTTGCCTGAGCTGGTAAATAGAAAAACAAAGCCTGGATGATAGCAAGTATGTTTACAGCATAGTTTTAATATTTTAAGCCCTGTATTGAGACCTACTGCTCAGAAAAGATTTCTTTAAAAATATTACAGTTCATTTGACAATGCACCTGGTTATCCAAGAGCACTAATGAAAAAGTAAAAGGAGATTAATGTTGTTTTCATGCTGTTAACACAACATCCATTTTGCAGCCATGGATCAAGGAGTAATTTCAACTTTCGAGACTAATTATTTAATAAATGTATTTTGTAAGGCTATAGCTGCAAGAGATAGTGATTCTTAAAGGATCTGGGAAAAGTCCATTGCAAACCTTCTGGAAATGTTTCACCATTCTAGATGTCAGTAAGGACATTTATGATTCATCAGAGGAGCGCAAAAATCAACATTAACAAGAGTTGTGAAGAGGTTGATTCCAGCCCTCTAGGGTGACTTTGAGGGGTTCAAGACTTCAGCAGAAAAGTAACTGCAGATGTGATGGAAATAGCAGGAGAACTAGAATTAGAAGTGGAGCCTGAATATGTGACTGAATTGTTGCAATCTCATGAGAAAATTGTAACAGATCAGGAGTCGCTACTTATGGATGAGCAAATAAAGCAGTTTCTTGAGATGAAATCCACTCCTGGTGAAGTCGCTGTGAGTATTGTTGAAATGACAACAAAAGATTTAGAATATTTCATAAACTTGGTTGATAAAGCAATGTCAGGGTTTGAGAGGATTGACTCCTCTTTTGAAAGAAGTTCTACTGTGAGTAAAATGCTATCAAAGAGTAACACATGCTACAGAAAAAATATCTTTCATGAAAGGAAGAGTTAATCAATTTAGCAAACTTCATTGTTGCATTATTTTTAGAAATTGCCACAACCACCCCACCCTTTAGCAGCCACCAGCCTGATTAACCATCAACATTGAGACAACATCCTCCACAAGCTAAAAGATGACTACTCACTGAAGGATCAGATGATTATTAGCAGTTTTTAGCAATAATATCTTTTTAAAACTAAGATCTGTACATTAATTTTTGAGATAATGCTGTTCCTCATTTAACAGACCAAAATATAATATAAACATAACTTAATATGTACTGGAAAACCAAAAACTCCATGTCAATTTTATTGTGATCTTTACTTTATTGTGGTGATCTGGAACCAAACTCACAATATCTCTGAGTTATGCCTGTATGGAAAAAGCCTCTGTTCTAGAATACACCTACATTTGCATATCTAAAAGGTTCCCTTAAAGAGTTATCTCAATCCAAACCCCACCATACATACATATATGACACACAGAATCTTCATGAAAAGATAAATTCTGCTGTATCTCAAAGGCAACATGCAAAGTAGTAGTTTGTCCTGAGACACTGTTTAAGAGAAGTCAGCGAATATATTTTAAGTCCATGAATTGCATTTTAGAAATGAAAGTACAAAACTGTGACCTCTCTAAGGATGCAAGAGAGTGGAATATGATCTCTCATGTTCGTGAATACACCACTGTTAGTGTGTAAGAATGATACTGACTTTCAAATATGCAAATGCATCACTGTGATTTCAGGGATTAAATGACTGCCATAATTGGACCTGCAATCCATTCTATGGACCATTTCTAAAATTGCCATGATTTGGAATTTTCTGGATCTGAAAGTGAAGTACCAGAGTTTAGGTTTGCAAACTATCAGCATAGTCTGTAATAGTTCCACACCGATGTAATTATGAAAATGTGTCTTATCCATTCTTCCCGTTTTGAGGGTTTTGAATATCCACATTATTGAAAGAACAGCACAAGCAAGAAGCAATGTCGGAAGGCGGTGACAGTCTCTGAGAGGGAGGAGATTTTTCAGTCAAGCAAGGTTTCTGCAACCTTCTACTGACTGTTAGTTAAGAAGCAACATGTGGAAAAACAACTGAAGGGTGGAAGATGAATTATGAGATTAAAAACCTTTATGCCTAACCAGAATGGTGGATGGAGGTTTTATTAGGAAATATATTTATTATTTTATTCAATGTACACTTAGTGACTACTTACTATTTGTTATGTTCTGAATTGTAGAGGACAGAAACAAGAAACCACGTCTACACAAAGGTAACATTTATCTAAATTGTGTACATATGTTTACTCATGTATGCACACAAAACTGTTAATGTTAAATGAGATAATATGTAAACCATGCAATAAAGAAAGGTAGAAAATGATTAGGGAGTTCAGAAGACAGACCTACTTGGCAGAGAACAAAGAATTAGGAATAGCAAGGAGAATCATTCGTCTGGAAAAACAAGGTACACGTAAATGAAAGGTGAAATATAAGATACCTGGAGGCCCTAGAGTATCCATGAATACTCTTGTATGTTGTTTCATAACAATGAGATTCTACTAAAAGCTTTTGATCCAGGGAATGACACAATCAGTGTTGTACTTTAGGAAGTCAGTCTAGTGCTAGAAAGAAGGTAAGGATAAGATAAAAGAAGAAAATTTAAAACTAGAACAAATTTGACATATTTGCAGCTAGCTTATGAAATCGTTATATAAAGATTATTAATGAATTTCACAAGAGGGAAATAGTTTGACCTTTAAGAGTTCACATTAAATGTTTATCCAGGCTTATGTAAGTTATTAAACTGAAATCATTTCAGATGTTTCACAGTGTTTACTGAAGTTTCCTCTTGGCTTTTTTTGGCATGTGCAAATATATTGCAGTGCAATAAATGCACTGAAGTGGGGAAGAGAAAGCTGCCCTTTTACCCCTCTTGTTGTGTCCTATGTAGCTTTAGTGACAGTAGGGAGCAGAATAGGATTACTATAGAAGCCTAGAACTGGCTGTGTCTGAGCTGTGGCTGCAGATAATGAAGGCATCCACAAAGGAAACATATTTGCTATTACTTCTATTCTTTCCAAACATTTTTCATCATGAACACATTAACTGATCTAGCCTTTGGAGACTTAAGAGAGTGTCAGGAAGATGGAATTGAAAGCTGCCTCGAGAGAATTCTTGTGGAAAAAATAATGTTGGGCTGAAGGAGGCTTGTCATTATACAGTATCTGGGAAAATGCATAGTTAGCATTCATTCTAACAAGGGTAAAAGAAAAATTCATTATTATTTGGCAATGAATCTTCTTTATTAATTCCCTCATTTATCTATTAAAGCTTTAATGAGCACCAAACACATATTACCATGCTAAAGTCTGGAGAAACTGTCAAGGACTCCAGCTTAGGGTACAATTAGCAGTACAACAGGTTAAGGGCAGTGTAAGAAGGAGAAACAACAGGCAGAAGTAACATGTGGAAGGGAGATGTCAGTTAATCAGGGAAAGCATCCTACAGAGGTAACAGCTAAGCTGAATTTTTATAGATGAATAAGAATTTGTGAAGAAGTATGTTTGTCAAGAGGTCATCTCATTCAGAGAGAAACAACACCTGCAAAGACATAGGGAAGTGCCAGAGAATGACTAATTAGAAGGCAGAGACCATATATGACTGGCATAAATCATTAAGTTCGGAACTTACCCTACAAAGTGTGATTCTTTTTGAAGACCGTTTCATATTGTCAAAATCTGAAATGTATAAACAACATACTTACAAATAGAATCTGTTTTGGTTGGCATTTTTTTTAATCTTCAACTAAATTTTTATATGATTCCTTCAATATTGACACAATAAAGAAAGACAGTTGGTATAGCTATCTTTCTGGTTTGCCAGGACTCGGGGAGGCTGGTTGAGGGTCTGGATGTGAAGTTGGGAAAATTGAAGTGCTTTCCAGTGGAGGACATTTTGTAGTCAAAGTAGCAACATCTGAGAGTGAAATTCAGATCATAAAATATGCAATGGGAGAAGAGCCAAGAAAGCTTATTTAATTTGCTTCAGTAAATGAGTTAACTCATGTGAAGTGTTCAGAACAGTATTTGGCATATAACACTCAACAAACGTTAACTACTATTATTAATATTATTTATATTTTAAAAGAAAAATAGAGTAGGAAGAAATAAGGAATATTATAGATGTGGAGTAGGGTTTTTCATTAACTCAGTATAAAGATATCACAACTGATACATTCAACAAACATTTATCAAACATATTCTCTGGGCTAGGCACAAAGATTCTGGAATATGGGGACACGGAAGGGATCAAAGGAGACAAAAAGCCCTGCTTTGCTGAGTATGGCTTAGTCTTAGGAATCTGGAGCCAAGGCTATGTAATGGACTCCCAAATCTGTGGGTACTGCAATGGCTCTCCTTCCTGTCTCCTTCTGCAAAGCCCACTGAAGAGGGTCCTGGTGAGGAGCAATATGACGGCCAGAAGAGAGAGCACCATTCCCACAGCTGACTGCAAGACTCAGCCAATCTTCTGGCTGCTGCTGTCCTGGATCTCTGGGCCCAGCCCATGCCCTCATCGCCTACCCTGACTTCTCCCTGTGTGGGGAAGGGGTGGTGGGGAGGTTTCCCGGGGGTACTCCTTTTGTGCAAGGATGTTGCTCCTGCTGCATGGCGGGCTACTTGTATAGCTGAGTTTAATTTTGAACTGAATGTTAATCAAGTATCAGATCAATTATGACTTAGAAGCTTTTGAGGCATTTTTTCTGAGTAATCTAACCTAATCTATCATAGCTAAACTGATACTTACCAGGAAAAATAAAAGCCCCCCCCTCCACCACATTTCATTTTGTTTAAATTCTAAACAAAATGTAGGAGTGGATGATGTCAACAGCTGTCAATGTCATGGTCTGAGAATATCTTTATTGTTGTTTAAACTGTGTATTTTTATGTAAAATTAAAACTTTACTTTGAAACTAAAAATTTCACATAAATGTCTGTGTAAGTTGTTAAATTTACTATGTAATGATTCCTTCTATTGTCTGCATGACATTAAAACTTGGTGTAACTTGCTCTGCAGAGCCATTCGGCACTTATTTTATCAGTCCAACACCTTAAAAACCTCTTTTTCATGTATTTTTATCTTTTCACCCAGAGGAATGTAGGGACAATTATATCATTGATTCTCAACTATTTCTTAAACCTAGAGATACACTCAGGCTTTCAGGATTGAGACTAGTTGTTCAAAATTGTATGGATAGATTCAAACAAATTTGTCTTTTACATGCACACACGTACTCATACTCACTCACATGGACTGTCTTCTGCTAATGATGGAATTAGGCTGAATCAAGTCATCCAGTAAAAGAACAGGAAATTCAGGACAATTGGTCTGTGAGAATTTGGAATGAAAAGTGTTATTTACTTAGAAAATGGATCCACTAAGTGTAAATTAACTTAAATTATACTCTTTTTAGGGGGTTGGGATAAATAGACTGCTAAGTCAGGAGAATTACATATAATTACTATGAATCACTTTCATTGAAATTTTAACAAAATGTCTCAAGATCTTGCTGAAGAATATCCCAAGAGCAATGTACATTAGATGATAATACAGATAGGAATATTTTAAAAGCAGATGAACTATTGTTTCTAAATATATTCTATTAAGATATACCTTAAGGGATCTTCTTTTATTTAACACTATATCAATAACACAGTGACACAAGCTAACTTGTCAAATCTAATCACACAAAACTGGAAGAGAAAAGTAATATAATGGATAATAGAATCTAGATTCCAGAGAAATAATGATTTTAATTAAAAAAATAAATTATAGGATGAGAAGAACTTGATATAGATGTTTATGTGGGTAAAAAAAGCCAGGAAGTTTTAGTTGACTAGAGAATAATATAAATATATCATGAATATTAAAGATATTGCAAAGACTGAGAAAGGCAAAATAATTTTAATCCTCAGTGGTCATGATACATCTGGAATATTATGTTTAGTAATTGATGTCATGTTTAAATAGAGACATCTGCAAACACTGGCACCTCCAATGGAATTTAAGTGATATGAGGAAGAAAATGGAAACCACGTTAACATGAGGAAGCACTGAAGGACCTACAAGTGTTTACACTGTAGAACACAACATATTCAAGAGAAATGCTAGTTGTATTCAAATATATAGAACAATGGTAAGTAGATGAGTAATTAGTTTAATTTTGTATTAGTCAAGAAGACAAATCTACAATCAATAAGTAAAAATTAAAAAGAGGAATTTGACTCAATGTAAAGCATTTTCATTCATCAAAATTGCAAGGGGAGAAATCTTACGCCAAAAAATCCCTTGTCATTGTTTCTTGTCATTAGAAAACTTCAGCTAGAAATCAAATGACAATGTTTTGAAAGTTGTTAAAGGAAGCATTCATTTACTTTGTAAAAGTTCGGGACTTGCACTGCCAGTTGGATTCTTTGGGATTTTCCAAACGTATTTAAATTTTCTAAAATTGTTCAACTAATATTCCAATTGCAATATTTTTATATATAGTCCTTTAGGATAATCTCTTTTCCTTTTATTTAAAAACAAATCCACAGAAAATGTGAATGCAAAATGAAAGTCTCTTTTCATCTCTTTTAAGAAGAGCAAAGTGATTAATTTTTTAAGCTTGGCATGGCCAAGCAAGTTTACATTGAAATTATGCAAATACAAGTTATTTCCAAATAAAACAAGTTTTACTTTAACTGGCATGTGAAATATGCCTTGACTTCACTTACATATATGCAAAAGGTTTTGACTTCTGCTTGGAAACATTTCCTTTTTTTTCCCTTCCACTTTTTACTTTTTTTTTCAACCTGGATTTTGGATTCTCCAATATAGTAAGTATATAGTGTATAATTTGTGGTATAAATTCCTCAATATAGTTGAGCATTAATGTTTTCAACAGAAAAGCTATACCTCAGCTCTTCAAGTGCCTGTTTTGTCCAAATGTCCAAACCTTCTATTTAGGATGGATAGTTGGATGGACTACAGAGATGACAGGTGAACCTATCATAGCAGCATTGTTCCTCCATCCTAGCATCACCAGTGCTATGCAGAAAATAGGAATTTTTCTGGAGAAACCCATATACTGACAATTTGACAGTTGGTTCCCCTTCTTCAGAGGGAAGTGGATATTTGTGTTGTATTCTCATAATTTCAGAAACACTGAAAAATTTATGTAACTAGAGTTTTTAGTATAAAATGAGAAATTTATTGGCTACTATTGGGATTAGTTATAAATAATAGAACAGTGTGTGTGAGCTTGCTTACTAGATTAAGTGCAAACTTCTTTTTGTTTTTGTTTTTGTTCTTTTACTTTTTTTTTTTTTTTCTTTTTGGTTAGGTTAAACTGCAAGATTTCACTTGGCACAGCTCCTAGAATGTAAGGGAAATTTAGAAGCAGCTAGAATTGTCCTTCTTTTCACTTTTGTTGAGATTGATGCCAGAGGCATGATGGAATACAAATGTGTGCTACTCCATCTTGTAAGTAAGCACATTCTGTTTACTTAGGCACAATGCAGACGTAATTTTGTTGATTTCATTCTTTGCATAAACAATGAGAAAAGGAAAGTCAGCACAACAAAGGAGGAAAGAAAAAAGTTGTTGACTTGTCCAACTTGAGCACTGTTGAAGTTCAGTAAGCTGTAGTAAGAAGTTATTGAGAGAATAGTGGAATTTGGAGTCTAAATTCCTGGACTTAAACCACAACCCTGAAACTCATTAAATTTATGACCTTGGACAAGCTATTAGCTTTCTCTGAGTTTCAGTTTCCCATTTGTAAAAATGAGGATAAGGATAACCCGTCTTGAGGATTTGTGATGAAATCCTGCCTTTTCTAAAGGAATCTGGCACACAGGGGCTACTCCAAAAAGACTATTTAAATCTGAGAACTCATTGTTCTTTTATTCCAAGTTGCCTGGTTTCTGCTATATTTCATGATAGTTGAAAGTTTTGGCTTAACTATTTAACAATCATGCTTCAAAGTAATTCCAAGAAAAGATAAGGTGAAAAAAGAAGGATATTGGATGGGCTGCAAATTTATTTTTTTCTATTTTCTTTTCCTGGAAGTCTTTCTTCCAGGATTTGGATTATATATGTCTTGTTTGTATTCTTTTAGTGGTAGCCTTGACATTGAAAATTGCCTTTCAGCAAGTTTTATTAAGTGTCAGTATTTAATAGATTCTGCTACTTCTGTGGCCATTACTTGATGTTTCTGATTCAGATACTTTTTGTTGCTCACTGTTAGTTTTTTTTAATAGTTTGTTGTTCAGATTAGAAAAAAATGTATTATCGAGGTACATTTTTGAAAAACTTAAAAATGTTTAGCTGATTTTTCAAACTAAATTAAATATTGTAATTAAAAACAAAAATAGTTATAAAATCGAAGTTGTCTTTCAAATTATAGTTATAATTTGGTCTTAAAATTTCTAGAGTTTATAATATTCTGCTTCCCAGGTGATATAATTTGGTCTTAAAATTTCCGGAGTTTATAATATTCTTCTTCCAAGATGATGTACTGATCCCTCTACTTCTCTTTTCTGGTTGAAAATCTCTCTTTTAATCCTGATTACCCTTTTCTCTATTATATTAATCCATTTTTTCAACCACCAGATGTCCATGTTTGTATTATTATTTTTTTCAGGAAGGGTACATAAATGTATTCTTTATTAGACCTACATTTCTAAAATTATATTTTTTGCCCTGGCAAATAAATAGAAGACTGAATTTCACCAAGATATTAGTCAGTGAATGCTAAGTGTCAGGATGAGGTACTCTTATTTGTATTCCAATTAATATAGTCTCTAAACTAACTCCTCAAATATTCCACCAGGAACAATTTCTTAGGAGGGTACATAATTTTTAAAAAGTTATTACTATGACAAATTATAAGTAGTTGTCCCTTTGCTCTACTTCTTCCTACTCACAATTTCTGTTTCCCTGAGGCAGCCATTTGCAACTCTTTTGATATGTTTTTCTAGTATTAATTCTCAAAACTGTAAATTGTATGTTTACAAATCATCTGTCATCTATGAGTTATTTTCTAAACATCTGAAGAGCTGAAGATTTAACTCTCTTTTGTTTCCTCTCAAATCTCCCACATTCTTCCCCTCCACCTCTTCCAAACCATCACTTAACTAAAATTTTTACAGAGTGGAGGCTTGTAGTTCTATACTGACACTTTTTTTGCTGAATGTGATGGTTAATTTTATGCATTAACTTGATTGGGCCAGAGAATGCCCAGGTATTTAGTCAAACATTTTTCTGGGTGTGTCTGCAAGGGTAATTTTGAATGAGATTAATATTCAAATCAGTAGAATGATAATATGGTGGTCTTCACCCAATCACTTGAAGGTCTGACTAGAACAAAAAGGTTGAATCTCCCGAGCGAAAGCAGGAACTTCTGCCTGAACGTTTTGGAGCTGGGACGTTGGTCTCAAACTGAAGCATTGGGTATTCTTGGTTCTCAAGCCTACTGACTGTTGAAATAGAAATTACAACATTGTCTCTCCTTGTTTTCAGAATTGTGGAGAAACAAATTTCTATTGCGTATAGCCCACCTACTCCATGATATTTTGTTACAGTAGCCCAAATATATTAGGACAATAGTTATGGACATGGGTATACAAATATCTTTTGAGACCCTGCTTTCAATTCTCTCAGATATATATCCAGTAGTGGAATTGCTGGATCATATGGTAATTCTATTTTAATTTTTTGAGAAATCACTATACTTTTTCTACAGTGGCTATGCCATTTTACATTTCCACCAACAGTGCACAAGGATGCGAATTTCTCCACATCTGTCAACAATTTTATTTTTATTTTCTATTTGTTACTTAATAGTAGTCATCCTAATGGGTGTGAGGGATCTTTATATCTTTTATGGAAATGAATATGTTGTCTACCAGAGACAATTTTGATAAACTGTATTATCATAAGAAATTATCTGCTGTATTTTCAGTTTTCAACATATATCTAAATTTAGTTATTTTACAATACATACATTATAAAGATATATATGTATCATATATATTTTATGTTAATTTTATGTTAATCATGTATATAATACATATTTATATTTTATATATTTATATATTTTATAAAATATATTATGTATGATTAATATATATTACATATATAATATATGATCGATATATATTACATATATATTTCTCCTATATATCAATAGTAATTTTTGCCATTTCTTTTCCTTTATTTTTACTCAATTAGCTAGTGTTTTTTCTATTTTGTTGACTTATTTAGAGAATCAAGATTTTTGTCTGAAAGACTGTTTTCTGTTCACTACCTCATTAATCTCTGTTTTTATCTCCATTATTTTCTTCACTCTGCTTATTTTGGCTTACTTTTTAAAACTTTTTGAATGGGAAATTTATTTATTTACAATTCATCTATCTTCTATTGATACATATGGAGCAAGAATTGGCAAACTATTTTTGTAAAGGGCCTATAAATAACATATATTTTATGTTTTGCGGGCCATACAGTCTCTCACAACTACTCCACTTTGCAGTTGTGCAAAAACGGTCACAGAATATGCTTAAATGAATAAGTATGACACTTTTTGTAGGCCATACAAAACAGACAGTGAGTTAGAGTTCACCACTACTGTGACCAGTAGTTTTCTGACCCCTGAAACAAATGCTTAAGTTTCTGAGTTCTCTAATTTTTCTTTAAATATATCCCACAGATTGTAATAGGTAGTTTTTTATCATTCTTTTTTTCCAGAAAATTTTGTTATTTCTGTTTGTGTTTCCCCTTCTATCCAAGAGTTACTTAGTGGACAGTTTTTATTTCTGTGTGAAAAAGCCATTTTTATTTTAATTTCTCATTCTTTTACATTGTAACTAGAGTGTGTTGTCATTGTTTCAACTTATGAAAGTTGCAGCCTTCTTCTTTATGATCTAACATATGATTTCTTTTTGTAACTAGTCCATGTGTACTTGAGAAGAAACTATACTCCATATCACTATGTAGTGTCATGTTTGATATAGCTCCATAAGACCTATATTGTTGATTATGTTATTTACATTTTCTCTAATCCTTTTTTTCTTCTACCTGTCTTACACTGAGAGTAATACATTAAAATCAAATAAATATAGTGTTTCTATTTTATATCTCCTCTCATTTGTTTTAAGTGATTGTAGTATTACTTAGTGCTTAGATATTCATAACTTTCATATCTTCATTGTAAGTTGTGGCTTTTAATATTTTAAAGTGCCCATTTTTCTCATTTAATACTTTCTGCCCTGAATTTTACTTTAATGTCAGAAACACAATTCCTGCTTCCTTGTTGTTCCCATTTGCCTAATATAGCTTTGCTAATGCCTTTATTTCTAGCACATTTGAATTATTATGTTTTATGTGTGTCTCTTGTGCACAGCAGAGTTGAGTTGCTTTATGAGCCAATTCAAAAGGAGCTTTCTTTTAGTAGATGAGTAAAGCCTATTTATATTCAATGGTACAATAATTATGTTGGTTTCTGTCATATTATGTTATAATTATTGTGTCTATTATGTTATATTTACTATGTGCCTTTCTGTATTTATGGAGTTTTATTTCCTTTATTTGAAAATCTCCTTTTGTATTTAGAAAGTCTTGTGATTTGTATTATCTACTACCTATTCATGCACACCTTTAAGTGCCTTTAATAACCTTATTTCTTCCTTAATGTTTTACTCTGCAGTTTGTGAAATGTACATGGTATTCTTTGACTCCCGCCTATCACCTTTACAGTCAATGCTCTTATTCCACTCTCTCCTTTCTCTTTCTTTTCTCCTTCCATCTATTAGTTGTGTTCTTTCTACTTTGTCAGTATATGTAATGCTTACACACTGTTCTTTCATTCACATATCAACTTTGTATTAGTGTTAGTTCTACAGTTAAACACATTAAATGTTCATCTTTGGTCCTTTTGTATAAGCTTCCCCAGGCATCTGTTTTGGTGAAGTTTATCTTGTGATAGACTACTCATGAAGAGCACGAAAATAATACACCTTGAGTTTCTTTTAATTCAAAGCTATTTATTTCATAAGCTTGTTATTTGAAGGATGACTTGGCTGCATATAAAATATTTTTCTCACACCTTCTCTAGGTTTTTAAAAAGTGTGCTTATTTTTTTTTTAATGTGACCTTGCTTTTTATGTTGCTTATGAAAATTCTGGCACCAGCCTACTTTTTTTAATCCTTATAATTTTGTTTTATCTGCAGATGCTGATGATTTTGTTTTTGTCTCATAAAACCTAATCATTTTACTAGGATATGTCTCAGAGTTATTATTCTGGGTCAGTTTTCCCAGGTACACAATGGGCAGTCAGTTTTTAAATTAAAGTTTTCTTTTGAAAGTCTTGTTAGATTATAGTTTTAAATATTATTTCTGTTGATTGTGTTGCTTTCCTTCTTCTGGGTTTCTAATTATATGTGTGTTAGGTCTTCTTTGTCTTCTATATCACCTACTATCTCTCTAAACGTGTTTACTTCTTTATTTCACTTCATTTTTGTGGTTTCTTTTCTTTCCCTCTTTCCTCAATGCTCCTTACTAAATTTCCATTTAAATCTATTATCCCTTGAACATTTGGTAATTTATCCTTCTTTTCTAATATGATTTATGTAATTTACTAAACTCTTGTTGCTTTCTTTCAGTGGAAATTTTGTTGATGGTGCTTTTTTTGGGACCATTTGTATTCTTAGCTTTCGCATTTTTAATTTTTGTATTTTCTAAAAATACCTTCAAATTCCTGTTTGAGGATTTTAAACTAAGACTTAAGTGTTGTGTTATAGGTTTATTCTGCTTTGTGGCTTGTTTTATTTTTAAGGAGAAATTTCCTCAACTGAAATCTTGATTCACACCTCCTGTTTTCTTACTTCAATGCCATATATAAAATTTGTTTGATTTATTTCTATTTGTGAGCATCTAAAGGACAAGATTCTTTGTTTGAAAGCTATCTCTTAGTTTATGGAAATGTAGTTTTGTTAATGGTTCCTTATGTTTATTTTGGTGATGGTTTATTTTTTCTCCTTTTGTTTCTGCAAGATTGTTAATTCCCTCCTCTTTGTATTTTTGTTTTCCTCTACTACCATATTTTCCCAAGAGGCATCACCCTTCTCTGTTTATCTCTCTTCCCTAGAAGTAGTTCTTCTCTCAGGCTGTCACTGCAGTTCTCACTTTCAAGTATCTTTCCTGTAGTAATGTGAATTACCAAGTATCAGGCCAATACTTGTGCATTTGCTGCTGAATCCTTTTCTTGCCCCCTTAGGAATACTTTTTCCTTAATGCATATATTTACTCTGTCCTCTTTTCATGGACTTTCTTAAGCCTCCCCTCTCCTATCATCCATACCTGCAGGTATGCAACAGCCATGGGAACTCTGTCAGAAATTGGGTGTTTATTTATTTACACCTAATCTGACTCTTTTAGTATCCTTTTACTTTTAATAATGCTGAATACTTGGGTCATATGTGATTTTATTTGCCTTCCTTGTTGCTCTTATGTTTTTTGAGACAGCGTGTAAAAATATTCAGATTCAGACAGTCACCCTAAACCTCCATAAATCTAGTTTTAAATAAGGTTTTTGAAATTGAGCCTACATTTGAAAATACATGACATGAGCACCATATCCACAGTTCTATAGCAAGACATGTCCCTTAGTTTTCTGAAAATAGTCATTTCAGGCCAGGCATGGTGGCACACACCTGTAGTCTCAGCCACTTGGGAGGCTGAGGTGGAAGGATTCTATGAGCCCAGGAGTTCAAGGATGCAGTGAGCTATGCACTCTAGCTTGGGTGAGAAAGTGAGATCTTGTCTCTTAAAAATAAATAAATAAATAAATAATCAACTTTTTTTGTAGCAGAACTATAGTTTAATCTCTTAGACAAACCACCTTCTCTGAATAAGTTGTTTCTAGAAATGTTTTTCATTAATAATTAGTAGTTATAAATTAAAGTGAGTATCTCCAGACTCAACCTTGTGACTCTGCTCTATAATCTGGTCAGTTTATGGCTTAATTGAGTAACTTTATAACTCTTCCTCTCTTCTGATTGGTGTAAAAATTTTACCTATTCCAAGTTTAGGGAAATTATGTGTGTGTAGGGGAAAATAAAGTTTGGGTACCTAAGCAGAATTATGAGAGTATTTCTATTATGTGAAGGGAATTAATAAATTACCAACATTAGTAAGTAAACCACCAAGTTATTTGATGTAAAAGCATTAGAAAGCTTTGCTTAAATGGACTGACTGTATCACTGCAGTGCTAACTCCTTTGAGCCTACCTTGGAGCATAACCAAGCAGCCTACCCTGGCTCTGACTGGACCACTCTATAGGACAGTTCATCCAGTGGGGAGTTGTCAGTTTGTGACTATGTGAGTGCTCACCAAAATTGTTCTTTCATTACTGCCTGCCATGGATATATATATATTTTTAAAATAGTCATGTGTTATTATTGTTATTTATTTATTCTAAAATACCTGTTGAGGCCGGGCGTGGTGTCTCATGCCTGTAATCCCAACACTTTGGGAGGCCAAGGTGGGCAGATCACCTAAATTCAGGAGTTCAAGACCAGCCTGGTCAACATGGCAAAACCCTGTCTTTACTAAAAATACAAAAATTAGTCAGGCTTGGTGATGCATGCCTGTAATACCAGCTGCTAGGGAGGCTGAGGCAGGAGAATCGCTTGAACCCAGGAGGCAGAGGTTGCAGTGAGCCAAGTTCGTGCCACTGCACTCCAGCCTGGGTGACTGAGTGAAACTCCCTCTCAAAAAAAAAATAATAATAAATAATAAATAATAAATCTGCTAAGCACGTAAGTTCCTGTTCTCATAGAGCATATGCTCTTGAAGAGAGAGAAAAGAGATATACAAATAAACAAATAAATACCAAGTTTTTTTCCTACAGGAAAGTGTTAGGAAAGGAAAACAACAGTGTGATGTGATAGTGAAGATACTTTAATAGTGTTGTCACAAAAGTCTTCTCTAAGAGGTGACATTTAAGATTAGACTTGAAAAATCTTAAATAGCCAATCATGAGGAACCAGGCAAAGGTCTTCTATAAAAAGGGACAGCAACTGAGTTCGGCACATTTGAAAAACAGAAAGAAGGCCAGTATGACTAGAATACAGTGAGAAAAGTGTTGAATGGTTTAAGATGAAGTCAGAGAGGTGAGGAGGCCCCAGACCATATGTAATGAAAAAGAGTTGGATGTTCTAGCTGGAATTCAAGGCTATTAAAGGGTTTCAAAGGAGGGAGTAATATAATATCAACTTTACTTTTAAATGATCACTCTGGTTGTTTGAGTAAAGCAAACAGCTGGGAGACATGAGTGGAAGGAGGGAAATCAATTAGCAAATTATTTCACTAGGACTCCAGAAAGATAATTGTTGGTAGATTTGATCAGAGTGACAGCACTGATGATACATTAGAATATAATCTGGAAGAGGATTAATATGAATTATGAATGAATTAGATGAGTGAGTGAAATGGAGGAATGGAGGATGACTTCTTGATTTTGAATTTGAGCAGCTAATTGGACATTGAAAAAATAATCTAAAAAAATTGGCGTTTAATATTGCAGGAATTGTTGCTGATTTGCTTTATTGTCATCACAAAAGTAGAGAGGAGGGATATAGGAGAGCATAAAAGTGGACTGGTAGGAAGTTTCCATTTTCTTTTGTTGCATCTGGTCAAAACCCATGGTTTAGTTTTACAGTATTGTTAGGGTCCGCAGGGATTCAGTTAGTGGCTGAACAATGATGGCCTGGGCCTCAGCATGCAGTAGGCTGTGCACCTCTGCTTAGTAGTGTTGTCAGGGAAGTCTTTTCTGAGAAGTGCTATTTAATACTAGAGTTCAAAAATCATAACCAGGCATGTGAAGAACCAGGAGAAGACCCCTTTTCAAAAAAAGGAACAGCAACTGAGTTTGACAAATTTGAGGAACAGAAAGAAGGCCAGTGTGGCTGCAACATAGTAAGCAAAGTGCTGAATGGCTTGAGATGATGTCAGAGAAGTGGGGAAGGGTCAGATCATACATAATAAAAAATAATTGGACATTAACACTGTAATGTAGGGCCGGCCATTCGAGAGTTTTAAATAGGGGAGGACTTAGTTGAGAGAGGACTTTTAAAGTGAGAAAGCATCTAAGGGTGGAGTAATTCCAGTTCCAACAACCCTGCATCTCCTATCAATTCCATTATGCTTTTCCAAAGAATTGTGGCACACATGAAAAACTTTAGCATCTCATATCATTTTCAAGACTACAGTTTAAATAAATCATTATAGTGTGTTTTTCTTTTTGTAACTAACCTGACTTAGGTTAGTGTTTTTACTAGAAATTTACTAGTCAGTAATGGGATTTTTGATAGTATAAGAACAATCCACCTAATGTAGAATAATAAGATTGTAAAGAGCAGTAGCAATATAGGAAAAATTGAGACATTCAGCTATACTGGAGAGGTATGATAGGCAGCTTCCAGCAATATATGCGATAAATATATATGTCTATATCTAATCAGTTAACTCCCTTTAGTTAGACCAACAGGTGGAGGCAAGTCCAGGCTTTGATCCAATTTTATTTCAATGCCAAATGGTACAGCTTCTTGAGAAAGGGAATTATTATGTCTACCTAAAGTGTAAGTAAGTTTTCTTTTAAGTAGAGCTTCTTAACTGAAAATTCAGTGGTGGCTAAATGCTTAGATTTACTGGAAATAGGCAATAGTTTCTCAAGCTGTGCTTTTTGCTTTCCTTGTGTGTTGAGATATTTGTGGTTTATGTTCCTCATAATATTACTGAAGACTCAAAGGAATGGCAACAGAACAAGACAATGGAAGATCTCATTTTCTTCAGAAACAACAAGCTGGAATTCAGAGTCCTAAAGTTTGAATTCTACATATTTTCTACTTGTCTAGGTGGATTTAGAATTTTTGGTGCTTTAACCTGTGACTTGCCGTATTTTCATATTTAAAGTTACGAGAGCATCAAGTTAACACATAATGAAGATAAAAAGTGACACAGCTGCTCTTTCTATAGTGAGAAACTGGTGATATGGTCCTTAAAAATCTCTGCTATTTCACATGAGAATAAGGAAACTAAAAGCAAAGTAAGTTGTCACTACAAAAATACATGTATGCTATTTCTTATCCTTTATCTAGTTGATTTTCATTTGTTTACAAATACCTAATTCATATGACACTTTTTCTGTAGGCATCTCAAATGACATATAATTGAAAGTAGACAGAAGTAACTTTTTTTTTCAGTTCTGACTAGGATACCCAATAAAC
This sequence comes from Homo sapiens, assembly GCF_000001405.40. Classification (NCBI taxonomy): domain Eukaryota; kingdom Metazoa; phylum Chordata; class Mammalia; order Primates; family Hominidae; genus Homo; species Homo sapiens. The sequence continues at coordinate 40,682,664 of NC_000012.12, forward strand.
AAAATATAGCCTTTGCCTTAAGGAGCTGTTATTTGCAATGAACAGAAATATATCAATAAATGCCTACAACAAAATTTTATAGTATCATGATAAATTTATGTGTAAAGTGTAGAAGTACTGAAGAGGAAGTGGTTATATCTGGGCATGGGAGTAGGAAGAAGGGATAGAGAAAGCTTAACGAAAGAAATAACTTCTGACAAAATTTTGGCGGGCAAACAGGAATTGACCTGGTTGAAAACAGTCTAGGTGGGGAAGAGGGAGGAATCATGTCCAGGTTGAGAGAAAAACAGGTGTGAAGACAGAGTCAAGCAAAAAGAATGGCATTAAGGGTGCTCTGTTTTGTTTGTGTTCCTAATTCTTTAATTTTCTTTTTTTATAGGCAACAAATATTTATTGAGTACCTATCACGCCCTATGGACTGTTTACTTTATGAAGCTTAAGTTCTGGAGAAGGGGTAGGTAACTATATTCTACAAGATAGGCAATAAACCCAATGAACACAGAACACATACTGTAATGGAAAATGCCATTGAGAAATTGGAAGTAGGAAAGGGGATGGAGAGATCTGGGATGGGGATTGGTGAAAGTGAGTTTTAAATGAGATGGTTAGGAATGGGCTCACTGAGAAAGAAATATTTTAATAAAAATCTGAACAATGTTTTCATGCAGAAAACAGAAGAGCATTTCAGGAGAGAAATCAGAAAGTACAAAGGCCCTACAACTGGAGTTCTCCTCATTTACTTAAGGATTAATGAGAAGGCCCCTGCAGTTTCTAATTATTTTTCATCCTCTTAATGCTTATGATTTAATCACAATCGACTCCTCTCAATGCTCGAGTATGCCTTACTATTTTACAATATAAATTTTTTATATTTTTTTCTTACTAGGAATGCCATCTTACATCTTCATTTCCCTGAAAATAAACAATTTTTACTTTAAGAATAGTTAAGTGTTCACCCAAGTGTCATCTGTACTTCCTTTTTTTTCCTCTTAGGCATATTGTGGTGCTGTTGTCACAATGCTCCATTGTAAATTGTACTCAAGTAATCAGTTAGTTTTGGACGTTTTGAATTTGACATGATTTTGAATCAACTAGATAAAGATGTTTACTAGAGGAATGGATGTATGAATCTGAAGTGCAGAGTATATCCAAGGTTGGATATAGAAAGATGATCTTATAGGATGAAGTTGGTACCGTAAGAATTTGTAGTATCACAGAGAAGAAAAAGTGATAAGAAAGTCAAAAATTAGCTCTGCAATTTTTAATAAAATCAACAGTGAGAGATAGTCCGAAAAAGAATATTTGAGGAGGGAGCTTTTGAGTTCTTAGAGAACTAGGTAAAAAAATAAGGAGAAAATTGAAAAATGATGAGAAAGCCACATGTGAGGATCACAGTGGAAAATGTTTAGTTCTCAGGGTCTCTTACTGTAATTAGAGGGAAAGGCAGGGTCAGAATCACTTTCCATGAGAAAAACTTGAACATGTTTGTATAATAAGGGGAAGTCTGTAGAGAAATGGATGTTGGACATATAAGATATATAGACGATACTTGCTAAAAAGGGAACAGGAGAAGGATGAATTTTAAAAGCCTGTCTTCTGGTATTTACTGCAACTAGTCAGCCTTCAATTGGAACACCCATGAAAATTCAGAGGAAATTTGCAAAATTACAAAAGCCTAGTAAACTAACATCAAACAATAACTTGTCAGTCTTTGGGGGGATTTCATTCCAACTATTAAGACTTGTAGTTTTTCACACTTTCTATAATGAGCATATATAATTTACTGTATTATGTTGGGTTACCCAGGAAGCAGAAGCTAAGATTTGTGTGCAGAAAATTTACTGGGGAAAATCTTCACTATGGACATATTTTCCTTTTTGGCCTTACACAGGGTTATAATAGCAGTTTTTAAAACCTTGCCTGTGATTATAATATCTGAATTTTCTCTTGAATATGAATCACATTTTCCTATTTTTTGGAGGAGAGGGGATGAAGTGGAGAGGAGTGAAGCAGGAAATTTTAAAGTATATCTGGGACACTATGATGATGAGTCCTGGATTCTGTTGTGTGTATGTGGTATTTTTTTTTTGTAAGAGTATTAATTGTTTTGGTTTGTTTGTTTTAGGAGACAGTTAACTTGGTTGCACTCAACTCCAAACTCTGTCTCCCCTTGGACAAGCAGCTGCTGAAATCTCTGCTAAATTCTTGTACTGGTTTCTTAAGGTTACTATAACATAATGTGACCACAATGAAACAATAAAAATTTACTCTATTATTTGAAACAACAAAATGTCTTAAAATAACAAAAACTTACTCTTTCACGATTCTGGAGACCCACAAGTTCTGGAGACCCACAAGTCCAACTCAGTATCACTGGGCTAACATTTAAGCGTTAGCAGGGTTGTATTCCCTTCAGAAGCTCTGCAGGAGTCTCATTTGCTTGCTTCTTCTAGCTTTCGGTGTTTGCTGGGACAGCTTGGCATATGGCTGCATCACTTGCTTATCTTCAAGGGCAGCATCCCAAAATCTCTCTCTGTGGTATCTTCACATTACCTTCTGCTCTGTGTAGTAAAATCTCCCATTGCCTCCTTCTTATAAGGATGCATGTGGTTGCATTTAGGGCGATCTCAGCTGGATAATCCAAGATAATCTCTCCATCTCGAGAGCCTTAACTTAATCACTACATAGACTGTCACATAAGGTAACACTCACAGATTCCAGGGATTAGGGGAAGAGGGTACAGACTTCTATTTACAATTTTTTAAAGCCTTATTTGGGCTGCTTGGAGTTTGCCCTGTGTTTACAGAGTTTAAGGGTCAGTTTAAGATTTGGATAGAGTTTATATTCTGAACTGGGGACTCTCTTTTTCTGGATGTCTATTTTCTAAGATTCACCTGTCTTACTTCTTTCTTCTGTTGTCATCTAGAGTTCTGTCCACTATTTCTTCAAGACAGAAAGATCGTGCCTTTATTGTTGTTTGAGACTTGGCCATCCTGTTTGGAATCAGCCAGTTTCTGCATTCAAGACCAAAAACTAGATGAAATAGGAAGCTACTTTCTGTCATTTCCTTTTCCCACAAATATTCACTTCTTCAGTTTCTGCCTGCTTTGGACTATTCTACAGTGCCCTCAAGTAGGTGTTCTTCTCTTTTTCCCAGAGTTTATAGTTTTTATCTATAGGGTAGATGGTCAACAGTAGTTACTCCTCTATTACTGAAAGCTGGGCCTGTACATTTTTTTTAAGAGCACATGGGGCATTTACAAAAAAAAAAAATGCAAGTTTTGGTTTATAAACAAAGTCTCAACAAATCACCATAGGTTGCAACCCTTTTAAAGTATTTTTCTGACAAAAGAAATTTAAAATTCTAAAACAAAAAGATAAACTAAAAACCTTAAATGACTATATATAAAACAATGGACTTTTAAATAATCTTTGAGTCACAAAAGAAAAACAAAGATTAAAAAACATTTGGACAACATGCTAAAAAAGACATTAAAATGTGTCAGATATACTAAAGCACTACTTAGAGAAAATATTATAGCCTTAAATGCAAATATTTAAAAAGAGAGAGGGTGAAAAGTCAATGATGTATGTTTCCATCCCAAGAAAAAGAAAAAGAATACCAAATCCAAACTAAGTAGAAAAGGAGGAAGGAAATAATAGAGATAGGAGCTGAAATAAATAAAATTAAAACCAAATATACATTAGAGAAAAATAACAAAGCCAAATTGATATTTGAAATGATGAACAAAATTTCTGAACACTGTGAAAAACAGACAAGAAAATAGCTGACAACTTATCAGTAATCAGGAATAAAATTTAGATTATAAATACAAATCCAATAGACATTAAATATAATAAAGGATATTGTGAACAGTTTTGTTCAAAATATTCAAAATAAGTTTGAATATTTGGATGAAATGGACAAATTCTCTTCTCTGTTCCTTCTCCTTTGCACCTCTGTATTATTGTGTGAGGGTGGGATGTATATTTGGGTAGATGACCTTTTATAAAAGAACTGCTTTATTGTATTAGGGCATTCTTGCATTGCTCTAAAGAAATGCTTGAAACTGGGTAATTTATAAAGAAAAGAGGTTTAATTGGTTCACTGTTCTGCACACTGTACAGGAAACATGGAGCTGGCAGCTACTCGGCTTCTAGAGAAGCCTCAGGCAGTTTACAATCATGGCAGAAGGCGGAGGGGGAGCAGGGATGTCACATGGTAAAAGAAGGAGCAAGAGAGAGAGAGTAGAGGGGAGGTGCCACATGCTTTTAAACAAACAGATCTTGTGTGAACTCAGTGTGAAAGCTCACTTATCACTAAGGGGATGGCCCAAGTCACTCATGAGGGATCTGCTCCCATGATCCAAACACCTCCCACCAGTCTCCACCTCCAACACGAGGGATTACATTTCAACATGAGATTTGGGTGGGGACAAATATTCAAACTATACCATTAGCAAATAGTTTTGAATATGAGTATTGTTTAACTTTGCTCCTCATTTTATGGCATAGTAAACTGAGGTTTACAATTCTTTCCCTATTCTCTTAGCTAGTTATTAGTGGAGAGTTGAGCAAAGGTGTTGTTGTTTAAAAGTTCATGTGTTGAAAATTTAATACCAATGCAACACTGTTGAGGGGTGGGACCTGTAAGACATGATTAGGTCATAGGGCTCTGCCCTCAATGTGTGGACTAGTGCCCTTATGGCAGGAGTGGGTGATTTATAAAAGAGTAAGTTGAGCCTTCTTCCCTCACCCTCCTTTTTTCCCTCTGCCATGGGATGATGCAGCAGAAGGCCCCCACCAGATGTCAGCCCTTTGATGTTAGACTTTCCAGCCTCCAGAATTGTAGGAAATAAATTTCTGTTCTTCATATATTACCCAGTCTCAGGTATTCTGTCATAGCAGCACAAAACAGACTAAGATAAAAGGTCTTCTAACGTCCAGTCTTTCATCCACTTCAGAGGGTGAAGGTATCCATTATTTCAAAGAGCTATTCAGAAAATAGGATTTTCAGTGTCTATAATGAGAGTTGGTAATGAAAGGAAAGGACATATTAATTAAGGTTGAGAGTGGGAGTTCACTAATAATATCTGACTGCTGACTTTCCATGAATAAGGAGACTAAAGCTACAATTTAAACAACTGAATTGAGCATTGGCCACTCCCCATGAGTTGTATGAGTTGAAAGAATTTGAGGACACAGTGGCTATGAACTAAGGAGTAACACATCCTTTTGTTACATTATACATTGATTCCTATTATATAAATGGGGCAACATGAAAGATAAATTAGAGGACTCCATTGTGAAACAATAGATGTGAAGATGTCCTTGCAATATTAGCATGTGTCCTTTTCTGTAAATTTGCTCTTTTGGTGCATAGCAGTTACTGCTAAAGCTAAGAGATTCAAATATTACTCTTAATCCCTAAAAAGATTACAGTGGCTCTGCATGAGTAGCAAGTTGCTGCCGTTTAATATATATGCAGTATTTAGTATTCAAAAACTTTCCCGTCCTGGTCTCCCCACCACGTGGCACTGATAGTGTGTGTGTGTGTGTGTGTGCATGCAAGCTTGGTGCACTGTGCATCCATCCCATTGCCTGGATTCCCAGTTGGCTATGTAAAAGCTAGGTCAGTGAGCTGACGTGATCTCTGAGATGCTGCAGACTGGGTTTAGCATGACTCTCTTTAAACCAGCAGGCAGAACCTTGGTTACCTTTCTGCTGTGGTAATTGCAGCTTAAAATATTAATTGGAAAAGGCCCGTTTTCCTTACTCTCCTGCTTTTTTGCCATATCGAGTATGTTAGAAATTGTTCTGGGAAGCCTGGAGAAGTGAGGAAACGGTGGGCGGAGCAGAGGAGAAAGAAAGGGAGTACATGCTGTGGAAAGCTGCACTGTTGCTGTAGTTTCCTTTCCCTTCACTGAGGTTTAATCACTAGTTGGAGGAAATTGGAATGTTTGAAGAAGGAGGGCCAGTGCAGGGTGGAAAAAGGAGGGGAAGACAGGAGAATTCAATAAGGCCAAGGGCAGTTTAGCAAAGCAATGCCCAGTAAATTGTACTATGGAACTCTGTAAGTGACTAGGGAGTCAGAGCCATCCAGGGCACATGACAAAATTGTCCTACTGTTTCTTTTGAAGATCTGCAGACAGGTTCTATACCAGACTGCCAGATTGGAAGCCTTCAGACTATTGTTTCTATAATTCCCTTCTTCCTAATTTTAGGGACAGAAGTGCCAGCTGGCCATTCATTTTCCAACAGCTTTCTTCATACCTCGACACCAGTCCTGATGACTCTGATCCCATACTCATGAAGCCGACCTCAAACTTACAAGCACGTTGAATCTGAGCTGAATTTATAGTTAAAGTGGCATGCTTTCACATATTTTTATAGACGCTGGAAGATGAGTACACCAGCTGGATCAGTCCTGAAAACATCAAAAGGCTGGATGATACAGGGAGGAAAAAGAGAAGGAACTCTGCTGAAAGAAATACCAAAACTCTTATTGTTCATGTGGTAGAAAAAGTAATGAATGAAGTCTTAAGACCTGGGGTCTAGCTGCAGCTTTCCCCTAACTAGTCACATGACCTTAAGCAAATTCTGTCCCTCCCTCACAGAATAATGAGTGGAATTCAACAATTCTTTCTTTTTCTTTTCTTTTTTTTTTTTTTTTTGAGACAGAGTTTTGCTCCCATTGCTGCCCAGGCTGGAGTGCAATGGTGCCATCTCGGCTTACCGCAACCACCTCCGTCTCCCAGGTTCAAGAGATTCTCCTGCCTCAGCCTCCTGAGTAGCTAGGATTACAGGCATGGGCCAGCATGCCCAGCTAATTTTGTATTTTTAGTAGACACTGGGTTTCTTCATGTTGGTCAGGCTGGTCTCGAACTCCCAACCTCCGATGATCTGCCTGCCTCGGCCTCCCAAAGTGCTGGCATTACAAGGAGTTCAATACTTTCTAAGATCCTTCAAACTTTCATATTTTCAAAACCATATATTTGTCAGCAAATACATATTAGATGTCTGCAATATGCCAAGCATTATATACCCACCTATAATAGTTTACTGCCTTTGTTTTTGAAGGACCACATTTCTCTTTGGTTACTCAATTTCCTCATGGTGAAATGCGACTAATGATGACTCTCCTGCTTATTTTAGAACACAGAGGGAAATTGTATCTGAAAGTGATTTGGAAAATCTAAAATGTTCTGCAGCAGCAGATACCTTTGACATATTCATTTGTATTGTGGGAACATATGTACAGGTTTTTCTCTTTGAGATAATAAGCAATAACCTGAAAATGCTCTGTTTTACTTGAAAATGTGTGAGATGCCTGATCCAGAGAGAAATTATCTTAATACTGTTCCAGAGTTGTGTTTGCATGTACACACAAAGCTGCTAATTAGATCACAGTAAATGCACAAAGTAACATTGTCTGCTTGAAGAATAAAGAATGTGTTCCATGAGAGCTTGCCTATTTTATTCACCATCACATTTATAATAGTAATATTTGTTGAAGGAATGAATGAGTGAAGCAATGAAAGAACGCAGATAGCAGAGATGTCTTTAGTTTTCTTTTCATTACCAATTTCAATTCTTGTGTTGTCTTCAATATTTAGGTATTTTCTTTGATACTTTTTCTTCTCCTCTGATTACCTCTAGAGGAGAGTATGTTGAAGCTCATTTTGACTCAAAATAATTTATGCTTAGGAATCAAAAGATGTTCGTGTTGCAAACACACATTCCTTAGAAATATTACTATTGTAATTGCTTCCTGAGATCATCTTTAATGTGTCCAATACATTATTCTGCTTTAGTTCTGTAGCACCTAACACAGGGTATGGCATTGAAAAAGTACTCAGTAATTCATGAATGATTTGGCCAATCCAATGGAATAACTGGTGTGAGTACCTGGGACAGAGGTGCATGACTAATAGGAGTATTGTGTAAGAAATGACACAGGGGTTCTGAAATTTTGCCACGGCATATTTAGTCATTTCCATTCAGTGTTAAGATGGTTGTCACCACACAAATAATATCTATTTGTTCACTGTAAATTTTCTCCAGGGTCCCTTCCCACCTTCAAATGCATTATTTTATTTTATTTTATTATTTTATTTTATTTTATTTTATTTTATTTTATTTTATTTTATTTTATTTTATTTTATTTTATTTTATTTTTTGAGGCGGAGTCTCGCTCTGTCGCCCAGGCTGGAGTGCGGTGGCGCAATCTCCGCTCACTGCAAACTCCGCCTCCTGGGTTCACGCCATTCTCCTGCCTCAGCTTTCTGAGTAGCTGGGACTGCAGGCGCCCAACACCATGCCCGGCTAATTTTTTGTATTTTTTGTATTTTTTTTTTTTTTTTTTTTTTTGAGTAGAGACGAGGTTTCACCGTGTTAGCCAGGATGGTCTCGATCTCCTGACCTTGTGATCCGCCTGCCTCGCCTGCCAAAGTGCTGGGATTACAGGCATGAGCCACCTCGCCCGGCCCCCACCTTCAAATGCATTAATCGGATTCCTTCAGTATTATGAAGAAAACATTATGAAGAGCCTTACCTGATGATAGTAATAACAACCGTAACCACTAAGTAGAGTCTATATTTATTAATAGCAATGTCATCTTCTCTAACAGTTGTCCAGTGTCCCAAGCCTGTCATAAGCTCTTTGAAGCTCTGTGAGAATGAGAGTTGTGTCTTATGCTCAGCACTTAAGATGGCTACTTAATTCAGATAGAAGAAGAATGTGGCTATTTGCAGGCAGAAGGCAACTTGATTCCTCACATGGTACTATATACTAAGACACCCTACACTCCCAGTTTTACACGTGGTAGTTCTAGCACGTTCCTTCATTTAAGGAGTCTCTTGAATTCCAAAATTTCCAGATTCCACCTGAATAAATGGCAGAGATGGCAACTGGACACAAAGTTATTTTACCCTGTTCCCTTCACATAAAAGGCAGGCTTGGGATCACTTAGGTTTGGGGGCATAAACATCCTCTCAGTGTCTGAGTACTAAAGAAATGATAAACTACTATCAATAGAAAAGTAACAGATCACTTAATTATCAATCAGTCTAATGGTGATTATTTTAAGACTTTTGCCACAAACTGAACTGCCCCAAAGCAAATCTCTCATGCAGTTTGGCCTTAATTTCTTTTACCCTTTTTTTTTTTTTGAGAGGTTATTATGCAGTGCTTTCCCGTTTAAAACACTGTTTCTACCAGGGAATATTAGGGGGTCTTCTGCATTACAGACTAAGCAATTCCGTCTTTTCTCAAGAAAAACTGCCATGTTACATCTGGACAAAAATGGAAACTTTAAAAAAAAACCTCACATCGTTTTATTTTCCTTTCTGTGTGTGTATTTTTTCCCACATAAGTATCTTATTATTTCCTAATCGAAGCTCATTCTTCTCTATGAGGCGCTGGCTTGGTATTTTCGCCTGACAAATCTCCCGGAGCAGATGGTCCCTTCAGGGAAGCTTCAGGAAAGTGCTGGGTGTCTAGTTATGCCTGGACCCTCCCTCCCTCTTGGGGCCCCAAATGACAAGTCATCAAACCAGTTTCTCTCCAGCAAGGGTCCTTGATCCGGTAGCAGCAGGTTTGGGTTTCAGGCACTGCAGAGACCCTTTGCAGTTGGGTTTAGCAGCTACCCAAGTCTGCAGCCTGCGCTGGTCCTGGGGGTGAGAGTGATATCCCTGTTGTCCAATCAGAGAAGCGGGTTTCCCTGTGGTCCCCGCCCCACTTTCCCTGCTGCCCCAATAACCGCCCTAAAAGGCCGGGCTTCTGCTGTCAAGTAGCCAGGGTGGGCTCCGCCGAGGCGAGGAGGGGCGCCGGTGGGGAGATGCGCTCCCAGGTGTTTGCAGCGGAAGTGGGAAACCTGTAGGGTATGGTCCAGCTGTGCCGCACCGAGGCGAGCAGGAGCAGGGAACAGGTAGGAAGCTGGACTTTTCCTTCTTTGCAGATAAAATAAAGAATGCGCATTTCCATGCTGTTGCTTCCCTTCCCCCAGCCCCGCCCAGCCCTCGTCACCCCCAAATCTCCTGTGGTCCCTGCAGCTCTCGCCGTGCGGCGCGGGAAGGACTGGGGCGGAGGTGGCTGGGGTGCGGGGAAGCAGGGGTGCGGGATGCCGGAGCCCTGGGGTGCCGGGCAAGGCAGGACGGCAGTGCCCTAGAAGAGGGCTCCGAGCTCGGGGTCTGTGTCTCGTCAACTTTCCTTTCGGAGGCTGCCGCCGCCAGCGCCGGGAACTCGCCCCAGGGATGCCATATCGCCTCGGCAGGGGAGGGGTGGGGAAGCAGAGAGGTCGGCAGCCCGGGGCCTGCAGGTCTTTTTCTCCCGACGCCGGCCCGCACCTGCTCATCTTTCCCATCCCACCTGGGCGCCTGGCTAGCGCATCCCGGAAAACCTGGGAGCGGTTGCGGAGAGGGGAGGAAGCGACTTGTTTGTCCCCTGACCCCTCTGTTAAGATCTAGCTCCCTTCAGGAGATGGGGGTGGGGAAGAATCCCTGCAACTCGAAGGGCACGTTCCGATTAATTACGTCTCCGTTGAGAAGGCACCGGCCCTTCTCCACGATCTGCGGCAGGTGGGAGGGAGAGACCGCGGAGCCACGGCCCCTTCCCTCCTAGCCTGGCGCTGTCTACGGGAACCACCTTCACACCTAGTTTCTGAAAGGTGGATTTGGCTTCAGGGATTTCCAGGGAGTCAAGTGATTGTGCCCGGATGGGCTCCGAGCGGCTGCGAGGCTGCCTCCCTAGGTGACCGCATCTGGGTAGTAGGTGTTGGCCCAGTGCCGGTTCCTGCAGGAGTCAGATTGCTGGGAGCAGTAGGCAGAAGAATTGCAGAGAGATCCGACGCTGCATCACCCTCTGGGACTGATGACACCCTGCTTTGAAAATTCCTGAAAAATTGGGATGATGGGAAAGAGGGAAAGCGGATAGCTGCGACCTTTCCTTATTTATTTATTTATTTTCATGCCAAACCGGGCATGGGTATTCGTACGTGTGCTTGTGTGTGCACATCTCCAAGGTGGAGCTATATATAGCTCCTGCATACCCAGCCCGGCTTCCCTGCTGCTGAGCCGGCTGCCTTGGCCTTCTCAAGCAATCTGGAAGCACTGAGTGGGCGGGGCAAAAGGGAATCCAATTCTCCATTGGGGGAAAAGCCGGAGAAGAAGCATTCAGACTGCTGAAACCCTGCGTGAAATAATGTTTTTGTAACTCACGTAAAGATCAATATTTCATATTTCATGTTTTCAATATGTCATATTTCATGTTTTCAATATTTCAGTATTTTGCAAACATTCTTAGAGTGCCAATATAATCTTCATCCATTTCGCCGCATTTTTCGGTTTCTAAGTGTACATATGAACCTTACCAGCCCGAAGTGTAACGCAAATCAAATTAATACATGCCGTATCTGGGATATTTTATTAGACTCGGCATAATGGTTTGGTTATTTGGTAGTAAATTTATTTCAGTGGTAACTTATGGCTAACAGCATTTGGGGATCTGGGAATGGATCCACCCACTTTCCAGGACTAAGGAACTGCTAGAACCCTTGCGGGGGTAGATGTGAGGTATTTCTTTGTACAGATTTTACATGTGGACCTGATATTTAAATTTGTACTGCTTTTTCATATCACATCTATTTGTACTATGTGAACTTTCTTTTATAGATTGATGTATGTGCATTTATCTTTGCCATTCCCTGAAATTACTTATTCCTGATGACAACCTTTCCATTTTCACAGATGAAGAAACTAAGATTCAGAAGACACAAGTGATTGGTTGAAAGTCTTCTGAAAACTTTAATATTCCAACAACCTGCCGTGTAATTATACTGCATAGCAGTTTCCCCTCAAATAGAATACTTTTTAGCTTCCCAGGATTTTTGGTCCTGGCAACAAAATGTGGTTAATGTTGATACCAGGAACAATATAAACCAAGTTTATTCGGTTCTAGTCTGACATGTATCCCTACAAAATTTAATTCTGTGTTTTAAGAACAAAATTCTAACTTGCCAAGTCATTTTGAAGATAAATTATTTAATCTACCAAGTTACCATCATAGGCAGTGCGAGCTGGCTTTTAATTTTGCTCTGCAACTTCCTGATGATCTGATTTGGAGCAAGATAATTAAACTCTGAGAATCTGTTTTCTTGTCTTCAAAAGGAATTTTATAGCATTGAAATTTCAGGTTGCTATGAGGGCCATAAAAAGCATGCATGTTTCTATCATGGGGATGGGCGCATAGTGGGTCATTAATAAACAGGGCTACTGGTAATAATAACAATACATAGGTATGTATCAACTAAATGCATTTTAAAATTCATGGTTCTAACAAAACGATCACTCCTCTTCAGAATCTCTAGTAGACTATTTTCACTTGGGAACTTAATCATACTTAGTCTTATTTTGTTGCTTAATCCTCATTTGTATGTCTGATTTGTTTTCTAATTAGGAAGTACTTTGCAGAAAAAGACTACACTTATAATCTTTTTGTATACCCCACCACATTGAACACAGTCCTATAATAAGTAGCCTTAAAGATTCTTGTTCAGGAAGCATCATCCTAAGAAGCTGGATGGGTGCAGCAATGATTTGGGGATATTTTTTTGGTAGAAGGCTATGCCTTGGGAGGAAACTTCCTCTGGCTTTATGATCCTCTCCATGAGGAGTAATGGATGACATAAGGTGTTTCTATATCTTTTCATAGAATGACTCGGTTCTACAGTAGGGATTATGACTATGTACTGGTTCTATGTATTCTCTTGTATCTTGTGTCCCTTGAGACCAACTAGGAAGAGCTGAAATAGACAATTTATATTTCTGTATACAAAATATGTCCTGTAATTGCCTTATTTCAAAAAAAATCAACAAATTCTCCAATTTCCATCTATTTCTACATGTAAATTGGCCATGGTCTCTATCATATCCCACAACTTATTCTAACTCACCAGTAAGCTCCTCCTCAATTCCAATGTTTGTTTTCTTTTTATTGATGTATTATCGATTGTTCTCTTCTGACCTTCTATTTTCCATATTGTCCATCTTCTTGAAATTTTGCTCCTTGACACCACAATGCTCTGATAGCGTACTTTTTTCTTAATTTTTCTAACTTTCCTTTCTTTGTCTCCCTCTTATCTTCTCTTTCTACTTCTAGCTTTCAAGCAAATCCCCCAAATTGATGACAATTTATCTTATTGAAAATAAAGTTCTCCTTCTGCATTTCCATTCCTAATCTCCCTCCCATTAGCCATTTCCTTTACACTTACCCTATCGGCTAAGAGCACAGGCTTTGGGAGGAAGCCTGCAGGTGTTAATATTTATGTATCATGATGCAGTTAAGCGAACATCAGCAAGTCAACTGGGGATTATCATAGCACTTACGTGAGAGGATTTTGTGATTTGTAAAATATTAAGTGAGATAATGCGTGTTAAACATTCAAAATAAGGTTTGGCCCATGGTAATTACTCATAAAGAATAGCTATTAATAATAGAAGTGCTATTGTAGCAATTGTAATGCACAAGGTGAAAACTGGTTTTGCTTTTTCCCCATCAATAGGCATCATTCCTAAACTGGCTTTTATCAATGGAGACTACAACTTTACAGGCTTTCTGGCTTGTGGTTAGTTACTTTTTAAGACTTTCTTTCCTCTAGTCCAAGTGTTCACCATATAGTCAGTAATTGATTCATTTTTATTTTCAACTCTAATTTGTATCTTTCTCTGCTTATTCCAGCACTAGTTTCTTCTGGCACTCCATGCCTGGATGAGTCCAGTAGGCAAGTTATCAAAACTTCCAATTTATAAGTCTATCTGCTTTAATCTAAGATGCCATGTATTATTGGTATAATGTGTTTTCAATTTTCATTAGTGCTTCTACTTTCCTTTGAAACTTTCACTGTACTTTAGTTCGTATCTTAAAAAGCACTGATTTTGGAGCAGGAGACTCAGGTTCAACTCCTGACAACAGGACTGATCCGTTGTGTGACCTTGGAAATGTAGCAGCAGGAGGATGGGGCATTATTTCACTTCAATAATATGAATGACCAACTGTGTAAAGTTACACTCAAAAGTCTATCTATTTAATATTCAATTGAAAATAATATCTTATTATTATAAGGACATCTAAAATCATTAAAGAAATACTGGGAATAAAGAAAAATCCACCAAATTCCGCAGTACAAAGAGATCCTATTTCAATCTTCTAGTCTTATTTCTATTAATATAAATAGGTATTTTTCAATTATAGATTTGAGTTTACAGTGAACATTCACTTTTGTATTTAGCTTTTTAAACTTAATATACCATAAACATTTATTCATTTCATTTAATATTCTTACTATCCATGTGTTTTTTGGCTGTCAATATTCTATGATAGATCTTCAGATTGTTTTCAGTTTTGCATCGTCAAGAACATGAACCTTTGTATACATTAATATTTGCATTTCTGACCATTTCCTTATGACACCTTAGAAGTTACCCAGGCAAAAGTGTAAATATTTTTAGCCTCATAACACTTACTGCCAAATTGCTTCCCCCAAAATGTAAGCACAGATTTATTCTCTACCAGTGGTTGTACCAGTTTGGCCATACTCTCATTAACACTTGATATTATTTTTAAAAATTGGGATCATTTTGATAGTACAAATTGTGTATCTAGTTATTCTTCTGAGTTATTGTTCCTATGATTTTGGATGAGTTCAAAAATGTTATATTTATAGGTTCTTTGTATTTTTTAATTTGTGAATTTCATTTGACTCTTTATTGGAGTGTTCATATTTTCTTCATGTAATAGGAAATCTGAGGTATACTGCAAAAATTGTCTGCATCTTGTTCTTTGCATTTTAAAAAATGCTTTCTAACACACAGAAATGTATAGCTTTACTGTAGTTTATAAATCTATTTGCAGTAGTGTCTCTTTGTAGCTTTCAGGTTCAGAAAACTTTCTACCACTTAACGGAGAATTGAATATAAAAACAACATGTGACGGTGCTATTGCTGAACTTCTTTCCTCCTTTGAAGCAGAATCTGGCTTATGTATATCATATGTATATCCCAGTGCGAAATGGCTCTGGGGACACATAAAATCCACTCAGTCTATTAAGATCCTATTATTCTTTAGGCAGCTCTCCCATGAAGTGAATAGTACCTTAATTCTTTCTGAGCTACTATTGTCCATTTTAAAAGAGCCACAGGGCAGAATGCACTATGGAAGATATTAATGGCCAGGTTACTCAGCCAGAGCAGGGCACATTGTTTGCACAATTATCTGAATGACTCAGGCACTAAATCTGCTTCTGCCAGGATTATCCAGATGGTCCTTAACTCAGTAGATAATTTTTCACTCCTGTACTTGATTTTGATGGTGTAGACCTGAGCATGTCACCACTTTTCCTGCACTGTCTTGTTACTACTCAATTTGCTTAGGGCTGGTTGCTTTAGTTTCTTTTATGAGAGGCAGGTTTGCCCGGTTCTCCAGAGCATAGGTGTTAAGAGTTATGCAGAGCTTTGCATGAAACCTAGCTCAGTCAGTTACTAGCAGCGTGCTTTGAGGCCAGCCACTTAATTTTTTTTTTTTTTTTTTTTTTTTTTTTACGGAGTCTCGCTCTGTCGCCCAGGCTGGAGTGCAGTGGCGTGATCTCAGCTCACTGCAAGCTCCGCCTCCTGGGTTCACATTATTTTCCTGCCTCAGCCTCCCGAGTAGCTGGGACTACAGGTGCCCATCACTACGCCCAGTTAATTTTTTTGTATTTTTAGTAGAGATGGGGTTTCACCGTGTTAGCGAGGATGGTCTTGATCTCCTGACCTTGTGATCCGCCCGCCTCGGCCTCCCAAAGTGCTGAGATTACAGGCGTGAGCCACCATGACCGGCCATGAGACCAGCCACTTAAATTTTTTTACAACATTGTTTTCTGTGTAAGAAACATATTCAGAGTTTGAAGTCCCTATTTCATTCTCCTCCCTCATAGTCGCCTTCTTCTAAGTACATTCTATATGTCATAACCACAGTTGTCTTTCTAAAACCAATTTCATCGTATTCTTCCTCTGCTGAAAATTTTTTGAGTTAGTTCCCCTTTTTTTGTATTAGTAAGATGTCTGAAGTCTTTTGCATTGCACCTAAAGTCCTTTATTAAATGGTACGTGGTAACTTCTCTAGATTCATTTTCTGATTAATCAAATTTCTTCCATCTCCAATCTCCCGTAATGTCAATCAACTGAACGGTTTGCCTTCTCCTAATGCATCTTGTTTCCTCTTTTCTCGCAACACCCTCCCATGTTCCCCATGTTCTATTCTCTACTATAAATAACCTGTTTTCTTGTCTGCTTTTTAACTGACCTAACCTTTTCATGCCTTGGGTCAGGTGCCACCATTTCTTGGAGGACTTCCCCTGAATTCCCAGTCTTAAATTTTGACTCCCTGTGGATATCCCTGCCGTGTCACTTACCATACTATATTGTACTGATTGGTTACTTGTCTCTTGCCTCCACCGTAAGTCCTTGAGGATAGACACCATATGTTATTTTTCTTTGTGTCTGATAGAGGACCTGACATAGAGTTGATACTTAATAAATATTTTCTGAAGAAATGAATAAAAGAAGGTTAAGACTAAATTAGTTTTTAGGATTTCAACAAATGAAGGATTCATATCTTTACCCTGGAAACCAATCAATAAAAGCTAAAAATTATGTCAATCTTCACAATATTTCAAAAATTAACTTCCTGGTTTTGTTGATTTATACAGAGTAAATAAAAGAGAGTTTTTTTTTAATGAGGAATTTTGTAATGAAAAGCATGCCTAGGACAGCCAATAATTCCAAATTGCTAAATCAGTCAATAAATATCTTTTAAATAATTCTGCATTTTAAAAGGAAAGAGGAATGCATAGTTACATGGATAATGTCGATGTATAAATTTAGCTGTGTTGGAATTAAATAATGGCAAAGTTAATTTCACTTTTCTTTATTTAATAAAAGGTCTTCCATTGGTGTCATCTTTGGTAGATTACAAAGCATGGTCACATGCATAGCCTTATTTGATCCTTCGTAACAGTTTTGAAAGTTAGATTCAAAGGCATGGTTATCCACATTTACAGATAAAAAAAAAAAGCTCAGAGAAGTAACTAATTTGCCCAAGGTTACACGTTAGTGGCAAATCTGGACAAGTAAGATGATCTTGCTCATAGTTGAGTGTCCCATGTGTTATGGTTGGCCCAGAACATTTCACTGAGAGATGACTGCCATGATTTTGTCTAGGTTAAGGACAACAATCTTGATAATAATAATCCCCTGAAAGTCCTGAGCAATCTAGTAAAAATGTATTGCATTATTACCTATATAGGGTTTTTACTTAGATTTTTAGTAATCTGAGAAGAAACCAGCTGACAGAACTTTTTGCTTTAAACATATTTTAAAGTCTTATATTTAGTTACTTGATCATTTAGAACACACACACATACACACACACACCATATTACCCTTTCTTTTGTTTGTTTTGAAGTATTTGCCTTTTATATTAGGTGACAAGTACAATGCTCTTTCCCTTACTTTTTTTTTAAAACTTGAATTATTAAAATATTTTTTTCAGCCAGGCATGGTGGCTCACGCCTGTAATCCCAGCACTTTGGGAGGACGAGGCGGGCAGATCATGAGGTCAGGAGTTTGAGACCAGCCTGGCCAACATGGTGAAACCCCATCTCTATTAAAAATACAAAAATTAGCTGGGCATGGTGGCACATGCCTATAATCCCAGCTACTCAGGAGGCTGAGGGAGGAGAATCATTTGAACCCGGGAGGCAGAGGTTGCAGGGAGCTGAGATCATGCCATTGCACTCCAGCCTGGGTGACAGGGTGAGACTCTGTCTCAAAATAAAAAAAAAAATAAAAAATAAACTGGATTTTCTTTGTTTAGTAGACAATGTTCAACTTTAGTCTTCAGGTTTTGGCTTAGCATATATTCTGTGTAATCTTGGAGAACCAGATAGGTCAAATGCATTTTTTAGGAAATAGCACAAGTGATGAAAAAGAAATTTATGAAAAACAGATGGGTACTTAGTAAGAATGGCAATCTATCCTAGTTTGAAAATTACAAACACCGAGATATAAGATTGATTTTTAAAAATTGACTTGTGCAAACATCTTCTCTATAATTGCACCTCAATTACTAACAATCACTTATTGAGCACTCACTCTGTGTTGGGCATTTAAAAAAAAATGTGTTGCACATGACCATCTCAAAACTTTACAAAACCAGTGAAAAGGATTTTTAAAGTTTATTATTCCGATTTTGCAGATCAGGGAAGTTAGTTATTAAAAAGTTAATGCATGGAGAGGCTAGAATTCACACCCAGATTGTCTGACTCTGAAGTCCAAGTTTTTAATTGCTGTGTTATTCAGCACCAACCCCCAGTGCTCATGATAGCTGGTTTTAGTACTTTGTGAGTCACGGTTTAAAATGCTGCTATTCTAAGTGACCGGAATCTATCCCTAGACCCTCAAATAAATTTAGTATTAATACAAGGAATTAAATCATTCTAAATTTGCATATGTTTTATTTATGAATATCTTATTGATATCTTTCACTACAGTAATTTACATGGTGCAGTTTCCCAAGCATGAATTGGACCATTACAATGTGTCATTTAAATATGCCTCTAATAGGCCAATCATTTGAATTTTGACACAAGCACCAGAAGTTTTTATGCATTTCTGCCCTAATTTTGCTTTCTAACATCTCAAACCATAAACAGTAATTCTCTCCTAAGGCTTCTAATCTGATAGTATTTAATTGTCATGGTTACTAAAAGTACAGATTTGTTAACTGTAACAGACAAGATGAATATTATAAATAATATTTATAATATTCTAGCTTGAAAAGCTGTTTACTGTAATAGAATTTTATCTCAGATAAAACTTTCCTTTGTAGAGTATTTTTATACATTAAATGTGGTGTAATATAATTTAAAATATTTGTAAATGCCTAATGGATTGACTTTATTTTTCTTTTGGTCTACTTATATTATTTTGGAGAGCATAACAACTTTCAGATTGCTTGAAAATTAACCTGGTTTCTCAAAAAATGTTATTTTCTAATTTTGGTTTCTGCACAAGTTGAGTGGTAATGAACCTAAGACATCAACTTTAAGTAAAACACTGTATTATTACATTCTTTCCTTTTCCCTTTTTCATTAAAGAATGGCAGACATACAGAAAACATTTGGCCCAATGAGCTATAACAAAGTATTCATACTATGAAATCAACACTCATTTCAGAAGAAAGAATCTTGTCAGCACCCAGGTACCCCGCTTCCAGCCCCACTTAATCACTATCGCCTTACTGTTCTCCAAAGATAGCTTCTGACTAATAAGACTGTAGAATAGTTTTGTCTGTTTTTAGAATCTACATAAACGGAATCATGAAGTATGCATTTTTGTATCGGATTTTTTTTTTTTTTCCCTAGAGACAGGGTCTTGCTCTGTTGCCCAGCCTGTTCTCGGACTCCTGGTCTCAAACGATCCTCCCTGCTCAGCCTCCCAGAGTACTGGGATTACAGGCATGAGCCATCATGCCTGGCCCAGATTCCTTTTGTTCAAAATTTTTTGTGAGCTGTGTCAATATTCTTGCATGTAGCAATAATTTATTTTCATTGTACTGTAGAATTCTATTGAATGAATGCCCCCAAAATATACATATTTATTCTATTGTTGAATACTTGGGTTGTTTCCAGTTTTGTGTTATTACTGATAGTTCTCCTATGCATGTTTTCAAATTTATTAGACATTCTTTTTCTTTTTTCTCTTTGAGACAGCGTTTCGCTCTTGTTGCCCAGGCTGGAGTGCAATGGTGCGATCTCGGCTCCCCGCAACCTCTGCCTCCCAGGTTCAAGTGATTATCCTGCCTCAGCCTCCCAAGTAGCTGAGATTACAGGAGCCTGCCACCATGCTCCGCTAATTTTTTGTATTTTTAATAGAGGCCATGTTGGCCAGGCTGGTCGTGAACTCCTGACCTCAGGTGATTCACCCACTTCAGCCTCCCAAAGTGCTGGAATTGCAGGCATGAGACACTGTGCCTGGCCCAGAATTGAATTATGCTATATACGGTGTTCTGCCACTTCCTTTTATCTTGGACAACTTTTTCTTTCCACATAGTATAGTGCCAACACATTCTTTTCAGCACTTGCATAGTAACCCTTTGCATAAAACACAATTTATTTGTCTCATTGTTGGAACTTTGGGTAATGTTTCCAATGTTTTTTAAAAAAGAATGCTACAGAAACATTATTCTACGTGTAGTTTTGTATATTCCTGGGAATATTTTTCTAAGATATTTCCAGAATGAAATTGCTAGCCAAGAGGTATATATATATTTTTTACAGATTATTGATATTTCCAAGTTGCCCTATAAATTATATAGTATAAATTACTATGGTAATTTATAATCTTAGAAACATGAATAAGAATGTCTGCTTTTGCATATTCTCCCTAGTACTATTATCAGTCTTTCAAATATGTTTGGATTTTGTATTTCCAAATAAAATTATTACTGAAAAAATAATATAAATGAAGCATAGCTGTGTGCTAAAGAGATCATAAAACATAACATTTGGTATTTCCCTATAGACTAAATTTTGCTATTTTATATAAAAATATTTCAGTTATTTTTGGATTTGTAAAAACATTTCAGTTAATTTAAGTGGATCCTAAGTTAAACTCCCCTGCTTTCATCGTTATTTTTAGTATTACAGCTTTTCAATGGATAAAGATTTAAATCTATATTCTGGCACGTAGTAGATACGTAATTTTGGAAAATTTACTCAGTTCCTCTTACTTTGTGTGCCTTCATTTTCCGAAGTCATGAAAATAGATATGGAAGTTAAGTTTGCTATATCGCTCTCATCTGATTGTTTTCCAGGTTTGATTTAGGGAATTAGGCTACTTAGGCAGGTGCCTGTTTCTCACTGACCTATTTATGACCCTCTCAAAGCTGCTTGTTCTTCAGTGAGAAGAGTTTCTAGACATGTAAAGGGGCCTGTTTCCTATGAATAATCTACAAAGTAGTCTCTTCTGCTAGTTAGAAATGGAAAGAAGTGACGTGAATAATATTTCCTTCTTTCCTTCATTTATATTGTTGGTGAGAGGAGGGAGAGAGAGAGAACAGAAATGCAGATCTACCATGTGGTAGACGTTGCATTGGGGCTAGAGATACAGTAATGATTAAGTGAGACTTTCTCTTGCCTTCAAGAGTCTTCTAAACTAAGTGTGTAAAATAGATAAAAAGGTAGTTCAAAACTGCAAATGGGTGCCAACATGCTAGGGGAATTGTTCTATGCAGAGGACAAATAAAGACCTGGAGGCAAAGAACAGCATGACTGGTTCAAATAACAAAAAGAAATAAAGAAATATGGTATAGTATAAATTATACAGTAGCAAGACAAATGGCTGAAGAGCAGAAAAAGAAAGTTTCTTTAAAGTGTTGAAGTATGTGTCTTATTCTCGGAGCAATGGTTTAAAGAAAGGCAGTGATTTAATCAGATTTCATAATTATTTTTTAGGATTTAACAAAGTAAAAGACACTAGCTATGAAAGGGCTGTAATTTCAAAAATGTTAAAATAAGTCTAGATTTGAAACAGCATATCTAGATCATTCTTGATAAGAAAAGAAATTTTGAAAAATTGGCAGGCCTATACTCTCCAAATTATCTTTTAATAAGATCTAGTAGTAATTTTATTATTGACTTCATCTTGCTGTTAGGTATCTTATGAAAACTCCCTTTGAGTAGTTAAGAAAAGATAATTAAACATAGAGTCATATTTTTTCATCTTCATCTTTTTCACAGCTTCTTTGATTTCACAGCTTCTTTCTTGATTTTGGCTAAGACACATATATTTTAAAAGCCATAAAAATTCACGGATGTCCTAGACTTAGGATTTTATCCCTAGCTATGGCTTAGAATACTACCTTGCTTATTTTTATAAACACGTATGGTTTCCTGTTTGTATACAATCATATCTGTTATGGGGGTATAAGAAATAGTCATTTACAATATGACTAAATCACTAAGGAAAAGATGTACAGTAAAACTTGGATTTTGGAGATATTTTAAACTGATGGTTTCTATAAAATGCTATTCCCTGGAACTTCTCATGCCTCACATCACCAGGCTGAGAATTTTTTTGTCTTATTTATTTTTACAATGGTAAAGTGATTAGTTGTAAAGAGGAAAAATTGCCATTGCTACTGACCTAAATGATTGTTAGTCATACTGAAATGTGCTCAGAGAATCATTGCTCAACATGTGAAAAGCTTATCCTTGCAATAAAAATCCCTCTATTTTCTGATACTCTGATAACATTATATATTGAGAAGTCACAAAGATTTACTGATATATAGCAAGTGTAATTTCTTCTTTGTTTCCTCTTTACTTTCTGTCTCTTTTTAGTGCCTTCATTGTTCAGGGAAGTGTCATGCCAAGGTATATTGACAATACTGGTCCTTTTTGAGCATCCAAAAACAGTGGTATTTCTCGAAGCTAATGATTGCCTATTATTTGTTTCATTAGGGAATTAAAATTTGTCAGCCTTTTCTCCAGGATTTTGTTTCATCCAGAGAATATTTTCCTTCCCAATTGCTTGCAGTTGACACCACTATTTGAATCCTGATGAATTATTTCTGCTTCATGTTTGCCATAGACCTTCTGCTCAGCTTGCGTATGCTTATATACTTTACTTATCATAAACTTCCTTGTGTTTGAGATGGGGTAAGCGTTGTTGATGATGGGTAGTAATAGAGAATTATTCCATCTACATCAGATCACAGTTTTTTTTTTCAATGTTTAATAATAGGTTTTAGAATTCTGGGCAAAAGTAACATCTCTTTTTTTTTTATTATACTTTAAGTTTTAGGGTACATGTGCACATTGTGCAGGTTAGTTACATATGTATACATGTGACATGCTGGTGCGCTGCACCCACTAACTCGTCATCTAGCATTAGGTATATCTCCCATGTTGTGTTAGTCCATTCCTGCATTGCTATAACAAAATACCTGAGACTGGGTAATTTATAAAGAAAAGAGGTTTAATTGACCCACGGTTCTGCAGGCTGTACAGGAAGCATAATGCAGGCATTGCTTCTGAGGAGACCTCAGGTAGCTTCTAATCATGGTGGAAGGTAAAGAGGGAGCAGGTATCTCACATGGCAGGAGCAGGATCAAGAGAGAGTGGCGGGGAGGTGCTGCATGCTTTAACAACCAGATCGGTCAAAAGAACTCACTCACTGTCTTGAGACAGCAGCAAGGTGTTGGTGCTAAACCATTCATGAGAAATCTACCCCAGGATCCAATCATCTCCCACCAGGCCACACCTCCAACATTGGGTATTAAGATTTGACATGAGATTTGGGTGGCAACAGAGATCCAAACTATATCATTTGATGCTTTATATATATATATATAGATATATAGATATTTTTATTATACTTTAAGTTCTAGGGTACATGTGCACAATGTGCAGGTTTGTTACATATGTATACATGTGCCATGTTGGTGTGCTGCACCCATTAACTCGTCATTTACATTAGGTATATCTCCTAATGCTTTCCCTCCCCCCTCCCCTGATGCTTTAACCAGAGAGAAATCTTTGCCTGTGTCTTCACTGTATATCTGGTAAACATCTGCTCATTTCTCAAGGTTCCTCCATGCCATTTTTCAGGAAGGTTCTCCTGGCCTGACTTCTCCCAGGCAGATCGACACCTCCCTCCTACGTTCCTAGTGTATCTTGTATAAACTTCTCACATAGCCTCTTTAACACTTCATTATCCATACTTATGTCCATGTCTCCCTTTCTTTACTAGATTGTAAGAGTGGAGAATATGTCTTTTCAATTTTTATTTTGAATCTTCAATGCCTAGAACACTGCCTCAAACTTATAGGACCCCTCAAAACACAGTAATGTTTTGGATGTTTTTAAGTAAACAAAGAGAATATTTTAGAAATGTTCTTTTGTAATAATATTTCATATTCTGAAAATCCCAGAGGAAGGTTGTCTATTTATTAGCAGATGCCCACACTACTTCTTCCATATTGGTAGATATGATCATGATAATATATGTGCTGTATAACTGATACATTATAAGGCACTGGCTGTTCTCAATATTTACAGTTCATAAGAATTACCTGAGATTGTTAAAAAGGAGGAATCCTGACTCTCATCCCTACAGACTCCGGCTTAGTAGATCTGATATGGGACCCAGGAATCTGCATTTCTAACAGTGTCTCTGTTGCTTCTAAGAGCACATTCCAGAAACAAAAATTTTGATCAACCTAGATGGAGTTAATGCTTGTGCTTCAACAAAACATACATATAAAGACGTGCGCGCGCGCGCTTGCGCACACACACACACACACACACACACACACACACACACACACACCCCTGCTCAGATTAAGACTATAGAATTGCTTTTAAATACCTCAAGGATCACCACAATGCCAGAGCCATCACCATTACTTCTTTCTCTTACTCTGTTCATTGCTTTTCTCCTTTTCCTCTTTCATTTCTTTTCTTTTTCTTTTTTTTTTTTTTTTTTTTTTTTTTTTTTTTTTTTTTTGAGACGGAGTCTCGCTCCATCGCCCAGGCTGGAGTGCAGTGGTGCAATCTCAGCTCACTACAAGCTCCGCCTCCTGGGTTCGCGCCATTCTCCTGCCTCAGCCTCCCGAGTAGCTGGGACTACAGGCGCCTGCCACCACACCCGGCTAATTGTTTTTTGTATTTTTTAGTAGAGACGGGGTTTCACTGTGTTAGCCAGGATGGTCTCGATCTCCTGACCTCATGATCTGCCCGCCTCGGCCTCCCAAAGGGCTGGGATTACAGGCTTCCTCTTTCATTTCTATTATCTTTCTTCTTTTCTAACAAAGGATGGCTCTTTACAAACATTGCTAGCCAATCTGAGCATCCCTTTCCTTTCATGTTAAATACTAATTTATTTCAGTGCACAAAATGTTCTAATCTACTGTGCTTGTCCAGATATTTTTTTTGATGACTGATAATGAGTGACTGATTTGTCTCTAAAGGAAGTGTTTCATTGTGAGATGAAGAGGAAAATATGAGGAATAAAAAATACTTTGAAGTCTTCAGTTTCTTGGGTGGCCATTGGAAAGATGGTTTCTATATTGCTAATTTTAAAGTAAGATATTTTTAGTCAACCAAATTCTCAATGTGGCTGCAAAATGAAGCATAATTTATGTACAAACTAAGAGCAAAGGCCACTTGCTGTAATTTTTACATAACTGTTATCAAAAATTGATGCATTATTTTATAATATTAACTCTTCCAATGACTTTTTAGTCCTAGATACTTTTCTCAAATAGAAATTATATTATGATCCAGAATTTTGAATATAATTTGAAGTTACATTTTCTTCCATTTGTTAAATTTTACATTAAAGAGAACTTATGGTATATTACTCATACTATGCTTTCATTTTGGAAGTCAAAATTGTACCACTAAGACTCTCTATTAACATTTCTTAATTAACTATTGGGTTTCTGGCAAGCTATGAGCATACCTTGTAGCTTTTGTGGGTTTAGTTCCAGACCACTGCAATAAAGCCAGTATTTCAATAAAGAGAGTCACACACATTTTTTGATATTTCAATGCTTATAAAAGTGATGTTTACACTGTACTGTAGTCTATTAAGTGTGCAATAGCATTATGTCTAAGAAAATGTACACTCCTTAATTAAAAAATACTTTGTTACGAAAAATGCTACTAATTGTCTGAGCCTTCAGCCAGCCATAATCTCTTTTTGCTGGGAGAGGGTCTTGCCTAGATGCTGATTTCTGAAGACTGATTTAGGGTGGTGGTTGCCAAAGGTTGGGGTGGCTGTGGCAATTTCTAAAAAGATGACACTGAGGTTTGTGAGATCAGTTGACTCATCTGTAGCATGCAATTCTGTTTTATAGCCTTTTACCCACAGTAGAACTTCTTTCAAAATTGGAATTGATCTCTCAAATCTTGCTACTGCTTTATTCACTGAATTTATGTAGTATTCTGAGTCCTTACTTGCCATTTCAACAATGTTCACAGCATCTTCAAGAGGAGGAGATTCTATCTCAAGAACCACTTTCATCCATAAGAAGCAACTCCTCTTCTGTAACAGTTTTATCATGAGATTATAGCAATTCAGTCAAATATTCGAGCTCCACTTCTAATTCTATTTTTCTTGCTATTTCTACCACTTTTGCATTTATTTTCTCCACTGAAATATTGAACTCCTCAAATTCAACTTCTTCCAAACTCCTGTTAATACTGATACTTCGATTTGACTTCCTCCCAAATGTACTCAATGACATCTAAAATAGTAAATTCTTTTCAAAAGATTTTTAACTGATTTTTTCCCAGATCCATCAGAGGAATTAGTATCTATGCAGCTAAAATCTTATGAAAGGTATTTCCTAAATAAAAAAAACTTGAAAGTCAGAATTACTCCTTGATTCATGGCTGCAGAATGGATGTTATGTTAGCAGTCATGAAAATAACAGCAGTCTCTTCATACATCTCCCCCAGTGCTCTTGGGTGACCAGGTGCATTGTCAATGAGCAGTAATATTTTGAAAAGATTGTTTTTTTTCTGAGCAGTCGGTCTCAACAGTGGGCTTAAAATATTTAGTAAACCATGCTGTAAACAGATATGCTACATCCAGACTTTGTTGTTCTATTTACAGAGCACAGGCAGAGTAGAGTTAGCGTAATTCTTAAGTGCCCTAGAATTTTCAGAATGCTAAATGAGTATTGGCTTCAGATTAAAGTCAGAAGCTACATTAGCTACTAACAAGAAAGTCAACCTGTCTTGAAATTTTGAACCCAGGTGTTGACTTCTCCTTTTTAGCTCTGAAAGTCCTAGATGGCATCTTTTTCCAGTATAAGGCTGTTTCGTTTACGTTGAAATTATGTTGTTTAGTGTAGCCACCTTCATCAGTGAGCTTAGCTAGATCTTCTGAATAACTTGTTGCAGCTTTTACATCACCACATCCTGCTTCACTTCACATTTTTATGTTATGGAGATGACTTCTTTCCTTAAACCTCATGAACCAACCTCTGCTAGCTTCCAGCTCTTCTTTTAGCATTCATACAATGGAAGAGAGTCAGGGCCTTGCTCTGGCTTAGGCTTTGGCTTAAGGGAATGTTGTGGCTGGTTTGACTTCTATCAAGGCTACTCAAACTTTCTCCATTATCAGCAATAAGTCTGATTGTCTTTCTTATTTGTGTGTACACTAAAGTAGTACTGTTACATTTTTTCAAGAATTTTTCCTTTATATTCACAACTTAGCTATTTCGCCAGGAGCCCCAGGTTTTTTCTTAGCTTTCCACATAGCTTCCTTACTAATCTTAATAATTTTTAGCTTTTGATTTAAAGTGAGAGATGTGGGACTCTTCCTTTCAATTGAACACTTGGAGGCCATTTTATTTGACTTTTTTCCCAGAACCATCAGAGGAATCACTATGGCAGCTAAAATCTTATGAAATCTTATGAATCTTAGAGGCCATTGTAGGGTTATCTGAACTAATTTCAATATTGTTGTCTCAAGGAATGGGAAGGCCTGAGGAGAGGGAGAAAGATGGAGGAATTAGCCCTTGGTGGAGCAGTCAGAACACCTATTGATTAAGTATCAATTAAATCTTACGTAGGTGCAGTTCATGGCACCCCAAAACAATTACAATAGTAAAATCAAAGATCGCCAATCACAGATCACCATAACACATATAATAATAATGAAAAAGTTTGAAATATTGTGAGAATTACCAAACGATGACACAGAGATAAGAAGTGAGCTCATGCTGTTGGAAAAATGATGCCAGTAGACTTACTTGACACACGGTTGCCACAAAACTTCAATTTGTAAACAAATGTAATGTCTGTGAAGTGCAATAAAGTGAAGTCCAATAAAATGAGGTATAGCTGTACTGATAAATTTCCACTGAATATGGAAATCTAATATCTGATCTAAGGTGGTAGATATGAATATAGTGACTGGTATTCATTTAAGATATTTTTTGAGTACAGACTTGTAAAACAATGTTACAACTGTTTTTACAAATATTATTTATTCATATTGTCCTCTATTTCTAAAAAGAATACTGCAAAACCAAGGAATTTCTTATGGGTTCTTGCAAATATACAGGTAGAGACAATCTTGCTGTTCTCAACAATTATTTTATCTTTTTAGATTTCATAGTGTAACTCACACATAAGCTAGTTATTTCTACTTTTGAATTTTAAATTCAGCCTTTTTCCACATGCTTTGGAACCTCTTCTAGAAGAAGACACTAATACTTATATTGCTAAAAATATCACTCTGAGGTGTAATATCTTAGTTAAATTCGGCTTCACCTCAGCATCACTATTTCTACAGCTATCCTTTAAACCTGTCAGAGAGAGGAATCTCTTCTCTTTCATATTTCTAATCCCTCTACTGGTGCTGTGGATCTCAACTTTCCACAACATGAAGGGAAATTTTCTCTTGTGCTCAGAAGTTTCTACTCCAGAAATTTCAGTCTTTCCCTGTCAATTCTAGAATTCTCCTGCCTTCAAACTTTTGGGTTATGTTTCTCTACTAACTTTTCTAGCTATGTTTTTCTTTCATTTTTCTCTTCCCTTTTCAGAATTACTGGTCTGTAGTTTCAAAATCTCTTCCACCCAATTTATTGTAGAGAAAAAGTAAAGCCAATTTTGGTCAAGTCTTCTTTCTCCTCTTGGGTTCTGGGTTATATCCCTTCACATTTTTAGGGACCTCACTGTATTCATTATCACTTCTTCCTTGTATCCTAAACCTTACCCTCTCTATTGACTTCCTGATGTCAGGATTTATGCTTGGCTAACTCTCTTTATCTTAAAAACAATGCAGAAGAAATTAAACAAACGAAAACTCTCCTTAAACTTTTGCACCCCCAACTAATGACCACAGTCATTTCTCCTTCTTCTCTTTTGTAGCCAAATTTCTTTCTTTCTTTGTTTCTTCTCCTCCTCCTCCTCCTCCTCTTCCTACTCTTCCACCTTTTCTTCTTTTTTTAAGAGACAGGATCTTGCTCTGTCTTCCATGCTGGAGTGCAGTGGTATAATTAATAGCTCACCATAACCTCAAACTCCTGAGCTCAAGTGATCCTCCCATCTCAGCTTCCCAAGTAGCTGGCACTACAGGCACTTGCCATTATGGCTAGCCTGTTATTTTTCTTTGTAGAGAAGAGGTCTTGCTATGTTTGCTATGTTTTCCAAGCTGTTCTCTAACTCCTGGCCTGAAGTGATTGTCTTGTCTCAGTTTCCCAAAGTGTTGGTATTACAGGAGTGAGCCAATGTGCCCAGCCCCAAATTTCTTTAAACATTCATCTATGCTTACTTCACGGTTCTTTGCCTTGAATTCACTCTATACCTCTGAAATCTGCTTTTTATTATTTTATTAAAGCTGCACTTTACTAGGTCACTAAAATATCCTTATTTCATAAATTCTATGAATACTTTTCAGATGTTATCTTACTAGACCTTTCATCACTAATTAACACTGTTCAATTTTTCTTCTTGGAAAAAACTTTTGATAGTTTGGATTTGTTTTTCAGCAAATTTTCATTTATCTTCTATTCCTACTGTGATAGAGCATACTGCCATGTCAGTTGATGTTGTGCTAGGCCATATGATTTTCTGTGACCAATGTAATAGTAGTGGATAGGAACTAAGTAGAGGTTTCAAATGTGTATCTGCTATTTTATTTTATTTTATTTTATTTTTTTACTTAAAGACTAGTGTGATAGTAATGCTTGGTTCTTATACTCTGTCATCTGCCTTGAGAAGCACATATGCTAGGAACCTGCTGATCCAAGGTGGATGTGGAGAGATCTGAGCAGAGTTGAACTCAATACAAAGCTTAGAGCAAGCCCAACCAACCCCATAGCCTAACGTGTAACTGGCCCAGTCAAACTGTGGACCTATGAGCAAGAAAAAAATAAATGCCTGTTGTAATTTGGGAATGTTTATTTTGCAGCATTATCAGACAATAGCTGATTGATATAACTCAATTCCTAGAAATTTAATAAAACCATCTTCTGGATTTTTCTTTTAAATTTCAGGAACCATTGTAATATGCTATCGTTTGGATGTTTGTTCCCCAAAACCTCATTTTGAAATTTAATTCCCAATGTTGGTGGTGTAGCCTAATGGAAAATATTAGGGTCATCAGGGAGGATCCCTCATGAACGGCTTGCTGTCATCCTGCAGGTAATCGGGGGATGTGAGTTATTTCTTAATTCCCATGAGAGCTGGTTGTTAAAAAAAAGTCTGGCACTTCCCTTAGCACTCTTGCTTGTATTGCTATAAAGGAATACCAGAGGCTGTGTAATGTATAAAGAAAAGAGGTTTATTTGGCTCATGGTTCTGCAAACTGTGCAAGAAAAACACCACTAGCTTCTGCTCCTGCTCAGGACATTATTTTTGCATTCATTTCAAAACCAAGTACATTCCATTAAAAAGTTTTTAAATGAACTGAGCCTTTTATTTTGAATCCTATATCATGGCTTTTTTTTTTTTACTGCTTTCTCAAAAATATAATTGAAGTGATTTATGTCATCTAGAGGAGTATTTTTTCTCCCTCAAGTCATGGATTGATATAGTTCATGGGAATAGTTACAGGGATTTATTGAGCAGAAATTTAAATAAACTTGATGTTGGACAAAATCAATACTGTCATACTGAGGAGCATTTTATCATGGTTGTTATCATACTTGTTTATATTATACTAAATAAAGTATATATATATATATTTAAATGCAGAATAAACTTACTCAGTGATTTCTGTTTCTTTATGCTAATAACCTATTGATTATTTGGAATATTATCATGGGTTGATTTTTCTATTTATATAGAATGACATAACACATATAAATGCCCCCCACACACCATAAAAAACATTTGACTAATGAAAGTGCTAGAGAAGTTGGCTGTAGATGTAATATTTTTAAGGTCCTATCATGTTAAAAATATGCCATAAGGCATAGGAAAAGAAAGTCAGTATTTAGGGAGAATGAAGGAACTCTATATGTTCCCAATACAATAAACAAAAAAGTAAATGAAATGTCCAATCCAAAACCCCTGTGCATTATTACTATGAGAACCACTGAAAAATAGAGTCATATGTCTTTTCCACATTTAGTGCTTTGGTCAAATCTATTGTTTAATGACAGAATCATACCTTTTTCCCCTGTATTATGAAATTACGCTCTTCTCTATTTCTCACTGCTAAGAGGAACAGGATTAGGTCAAGTGACCTCCCTGGTGGGTAACTGGGATTCTGCCGATCACTGGAAAGATCTTATTTTATTCTTTGACTATCTATGTGGTGTGAGATGGGAATGATTACCAGCTGTTTTATTTTTTGTTTGTGTTATTCAGAAAATAGCATTCTCTACTTAAAGAACTTACAATTGGAATTTGACTTAGCATCTTGTCTGTTTGAAAATTCTTCACAGATAGACACATATTAAAGATTTTTGGATTTTCAAAAAGCAGATTTTCACTTTAAACATTAATAAACTCAAGAAAGTCAAGCAGTTTGGGCACTTCATGAAGAAAAGTGGAACAGTATGTGTGTTTCTGGAATCAATGGGTTGCTGGATAGTAACTGTAAATCTTACACAAATGATCCCATATTACTGAATAATAGCACCTTCCCCCATCTCTCCAACATAGGCATGATTAAAATGTTGATTATTTGTGAAGTTACGTTATCCATCTTTATTGGAAAATGAAAAGATACAGTAGCATGTCTAATCCTTTATTATCAAGATGCTCTTATGTTTTATATCTTCACAGAAATAGAGGTTGAGATCAATATTATATATTATTTGCTTTAAGAAGTGACATGTTGAATCAGCTTTCCTGCAGGCTTTCATTTATTCAGCCTTGAACTGATTACCTTGTAAGATGTCAGGGTTGTCAAAAATGCTATTTAACATGAATTTTTTTTATAGAAATGAAGCAACTAAAATGCAAGATTATATTTCAGTGAGCTAAAAGTGACTATATCATATGAATATTCTGCAGCTTCTGAAACTTTGGGATTTTGTACTATCCAGTTCCCGAGGGATTCTTACTGCCTCAGGACCTGCTGAAACAAAATATGCCTTTGATATTTAACTCTATGCTCTGTATGTGATCCACTCAAAAATAGACTGAAAGTCTTTTGTTTCTTAAAAAAGAGGTAAATATTGACTTTAGACAAGAACTTCAAGTCCTCATGGTCATTCTGCAGTGGATTGAAAAATTCTCTGTGAAAGAAAACTATTTTGTAAGCATTTTTGTAGAAAAATTAAAAAATGGATGTAGAAAGACATGCGATAAGAAAATCTAATACCATGGATTAAGAACTGAATTTCGTTTGTTTTAGATTTCCTCTAAGCCCATGATTGTTAAGCATAAATGTACATTGAATATCACTGGAATTGCTTGTTAAAACAGATTCCTTGACCCCGCTATCGAAAAGTCTAATTCATTAGGTCTGGAGTGGGGCCTGATAATTTGCATTTTAACAAGCTCTCAGGTGATGGTGGTACTGCTTTTTTGAGAGCCTCCTTTGGGTACCACTGCCCTAAGTAGTAACTTTAGTGCCAACACTTCTCTGTTAACTGGTAACTCTTATCTCAGAAAATGATAATGATGCCAAGAGTATTAATGGGAGAAAAGAACAAAACAGATTCGTTTATGCATAGGATAGCCGCATTAGCAGGATTTTTTTTGCCTTCATTTAACATTACTAATTTTTTTTATTAATTGGTGCAAAAGTAACCGCATGAACTTTTGCATGAACTTGATATTAAAAAACAACTAAATAGTCTTCCAGGGCTTGATTTGATTCCCCTTGTGTTGGAGAAAATATTGACATTCCTGTTGCTTTTAAGCAATAAATCTGTTAGGGTCTCAAGTTTTTATTACAATCAAGCCTTTGGGAGAGCCAGTGGAACAGATCTGAAGCTTTTTCATTAACTGATTTCAAATCTCTTATAATTTAGCAGTCAGAGGAGTTGATGTAATTTGCCATCACAAATCACTAGTAAATGCACCCTTGAGATTAAGAATCAAATTCCACAGATATCTGTAATATTTTAAAAGTCAGGATGGTAGAGTGACTCACAACCTAGTTGAATGTTAAAATCACCTGGGTAACTTTAACAATACTGATCTGATGCCTGGACACCACCATTCAGACATTCAGAGTTAGTTAGTTTGGGCTTGCATCTTGACATAGGGAGATGGATAGAGGATAATAGTTAAGGAGGGAGAGGTGCAGATATGAAGACAACTACCATTTCTTGAGACCTACTTTCTTTATGTCAGGCACTACAGAGGGCATTCTAAAAATACTATCTCTAAGCCTCACATAAACTCAAAAGGTAACTTTAAAAAAAATCTAAGGAAAGAAGCTTGAAAAAAAGGATAAACTTTTCCATGGCAAGAGATTGTTAAGTAATGAGGGACTGGCCCCAGCATCCTTGCAAGGGTACTAGATGCTTCCATTCCTTCTCTCTCTCTCTGTGTCTCTCTCTCTCCTTTTCTTCTTCCCTTCCTTCCCTCCCTCCTCCTTTCCTTCCTCTCTCTCCCTTTCTTCCTCCTCTCTCCTTTCCCTCCCTTCCTTTCCTCCTTCCCCTTCCTCCTCTTCTCCTCCTCCCTTTTCTTCTTTCTTCTTCCTCTTTTTTCTCCTCCTTCTCCTTCTCCTCCTTTATTCTTCCACAAATCTAAATACCTTGGGACAAGAGACAACCTCTAACAAATGTTGAAAGTCCCATGTAAGGAGGAATGTATCCTTCAAAATATACACTTGATAAAGCTTTGCCTACACCACCTGGGTGTTGGACATGGGCAATTACAAATGTATCTAGAGACTGAGACACTAGCTGCATTTCCAAGTATATCTGAAACTCATTGGCTTAGCCTTCAATGAAAAGGGCATTGGAAGATACATAGATAGTTTAGATTGAGAATTTGGCAACAATTATTACTGTAATTGTAGTTGAAAACCATCTGTGATCTCATTACGTAGTTACAGGGACAAGATGAGGGTAAACCTCTGATACTAAGAATAAATGAACCATATCAGAGAGAACACCAGAAATTCTTTCTTCTCTGATGTTAAGGAACCCATGTAGAAATCAGTCTACTTAAAAACAGATAAATATAACCTGCTCCCATGTATATTAACAACACTTTAAAGCTAACAATTACAAAGCTCTTTTAGATGTGTTTTATAATCTTATTTAATCTTCACAACATCTTTTTAGAGCAATGGGGAAAGAGAAAATAATGGTTTATATATTAATAGATGTGTACAAAGTCTTTTGTACATATTTTTATGTAACCCTCACAGCTAGCCAAAAGTGTTATTTTTTTTCTGTTTTATAAGAAAGGCTCAGAAAAGTGAAATAACTTGCACATAGTCATTGATTCAGTAACTACTGGAGACTGAGATCAAAACCTGAACCCAGTACAAGCAAAAAGTTGACTAAAATTACTACTCTCACTCTCTTTAACAGTCATTTGTATTAAGCTGAAACACAGTTGAACCTCTGTATAGAAGCTGTTGTTTTACCTAAATGTATATATAAATAAGAAAATCAATACAGGACATTCATTAACCTAAAATTATAAATAATAAATCCATTAAACTCAACTAAAATGAACACTGAGCTACTTTTCACATAAAGGGCTTTGAAGAATGTCATAGGGTATAGTTATTATATTCTTGATATGCATTGGATTTCCGACCTAAAAATTTTTTTCTTCCTTTCAGTTCCAAAGTACATTCTTATTTAAACTTCAGCTACCCATCCAAATTGGTATTTAAAATAAGTGAATTTGTGCTCATTCACCTGGTGTCAATATTTGTAAATATAAAATCATTTTCAGATGAACTTCATTTATTTTATTTCAAGTCAGTTTCTTGAAGGAGCCTTATGACATCATGAGGAAAGTCATTTCACAGTTTTATGTAGAAATATAGTTTTGTTTTTCTAGCATTGGTTAAGTTGAAGCTTTAGAATTGCGGGCACCACTGGATAAAATTGCTCCTGTAAACATGGGACACCTGGTGGATTACTTCAGCAAAATAGGGCCTTGTTGAAAAGTAATTGTGCCCATGAATTCTCACAAAACTAGGTTCATCATCTTTAGGTCTATATTAATCAGCTTTAGTGAGCTTTGAAGTTACTAAGAAAATGAGACTTTTTTGTAAATAGGTTATATATTTTGTCTTTAAAGAAGAAAGATTCTAAATTTTAATTGAATGACTTAAAAGTAGATTAAGTTTTAATTTTTTCTCAGTGTTTTATTTATGTTTTCACATGGAATTGGGTCTATTTAGTTTCTTTTATCTCATCTGACGGATATCTCTTTCTTAAAGTAATGTGCATTCTCATTTGAAACCAAGAACATGCTGAATAATTGTAAGGATATTTCCTGAGGTTCATGAAAGGTTTTTTGTTTTGTTTTGTTTTGAGACAGAATCTTGCTCTGTCGCCAGGCTGGAGTGCAATGGCGCAATTTTGGCTCACTGCAACCTCCACCTCCCAGGTTCAAGCGATTCTCCTGCCTCAGCCTCCTGAGTAGCTGGGACTACAGGCACGTGCTACCATGCCCGGCTAATTTTTTTTTTTCTTTTTTGTATTTTACTAGAGATGGGGTTTCGCCGTGTTGGCCAGGATGGTCTCGATCTCCTGACCTCATAATCCGCCCGCCTGGGCCTCCCAAAGTGCTGGGATTACAGGCGTGAGCCATCATTCCCAGTGTTTTTCAGTGCCTTCTCCGATAAGGAACCCGAGAGGCTTCCAGTCAACACTGGGGGCTGGGTTCAGTGAATTCAGTCATGCTGGTAGAGCCCACTATTTTTGTCCTAGTGGGCAAAAAAGGAAGCCTCTAGGGGCAATGACTAAAGTGTTCTAAAACCCATCATGTTGCAGCAGTACAACTAAATAGAGTCCTCACATGGCACTGTGAGGTAGACTACTATCCCCTATTTAAAGATGAAGAAACTGAGGTCAAGTGAGGTTACAAGTTTAGAGTCAATAAGTGATAGGGCTGGGATTCTGAGTCACATCTGATGGACGTCACACCTGCCCTTCAAAACTTTCTCTCACCCTACTGTTATCTTTATTTGAAAAGGCCTTTGTGTGCATTTCTGGGCCCTGGCTATTCATATGATGAATATCTGGGATTTTTTTTTTTCCCATTAGAGAACATTTTCCAAAGATGCCCTTAGAAGGATGGTTTCATCACATTTTCTTTCCCCTCACCTTGGATGTTTGGAGGGGTTGATTTTTTTTTAACAGAGGCTATTTGAGATCAGCATTATTTGGTTACCTGCATGTTATTACGGTTCAAAACTTTTTAAACACTGAACAACTGAAGTTAATCATTTACTTATTTGTCCCTTGAACAAGTGTTGCCCATTCAGTTAGAAATAATGTGCTCAATATGGAAAAATTAACAGTTGCTGAGTCATCAAAGGAAATAATGCAATTTATGGATATTCTTTTTTTATAATATTAGAGTTTGCTAAATAAATCAGTAATATATGAACACAATGGGAAGATGAATTAATAGTTACTTTGATTTAAGATTGAGGATAATTGTATTTTCGGAGTATGGTATTTATGGAGGCTTTATATATAGGCCTAATCATTTAGACATCATAAACTTCTTTAAGCTCAAAAATTGCTGTATAATTTCTAAGCTTTTTATAAGCAAATTCTAATTAGTTGTCCTTCTTAACCTGATGATCGATCGGGCTTATAAAAGAGTTACTAAATGTCACAACTGAAAGAAAAGAAGCAGTAGCTTTTATGAAAAAAGAGAATCTATCTTTGAATCAAGACTGAAACCTTAACTATATTCCATGTGTAATTGTGAAACTTAAATTATCTTATCGTGCTTTGAGATCAATAAGATATATCATCCTTATTTGCTTAGTATATTCTTGCATGGTTCAAATGAAATACATAACATGCTTGCTACATAACTGTAGATCTTAGACAACGAAGCAAATATTTATTATTTACCATGTGTCAGTACCATGCAAAGTTAAAAGAGTAGAGTTTGTTAAAAGATTTATCTTGGTCCGAATAGTTCGACATTCATCAATGTGGCTTTCTGTTTTTTTTTCTTTTGAGACGGAGTCTCGCTCTATTGCCCAGGCTGGAGTGCAGTGGCGCGATCACGGCTCACTGCAAGCTCCGCCTCCTGGGTTCAAGCAATTCTCCTGTCTCAGCCTTCTAAGTAGCTGGGATTACAGGCGCATGCACCACGCCCGGTTAATTTTTTTTTTTTTTTTTTTTTGTATTTTTAGTAGAGATGGGGTTTTACCATGTTGGTCAGCCTGGTCTTGAACTCCTGACCTCGTGCTCTGCCTGCCTTGGCCTCCCAAAGTGCTGGGATTACAGGCATGAGCCACCGCGCCAAGCCTAATGTGGCTTTCTTAGACTTGTCTACTCATGACTAGTCTAAGAATTAGACTATTTGTTTTTATTTTCACCTATATTTATCTCTAAAATATGTTAGAATCAAAAGAGTAAGTTTTGAAAAACATATTTATTGGTACTAATTTGGTCTCTTCGGTTCTAGTTTTTTTCATTGACTTTTAAAGACTTAATTAAGAGTATGCTTATTTCATTGTTAAATACTATAGCTAGATCACAGGATAAGTAACACTCATCTCAAAGGGGTGTGTGTGTGTGTGTGTATGTGTACACACACACGAGTCATGCAGTACAACCAGTGAATTAAGGCACAGAGTCAAATACCATTTCGTTTATGTGACTGTTTGTTTTGTGTTTTTGAGAAGTGAATTGTATTTGAAATGCAAAGACAATACAGTAGATGGATAATTGAATGATATTTTAAATCTCCTTGAAAGTTTAATAATCATAACAATTTTTTGTGTAATTAAAATATATTGTCAGGCCAGGCGCGGTGGCTCATGTCTGTAATCCCAGTACTTTGGGAAGCTAAGGCGAGTGGATCACGAGGTCAGGAGATCAAGACCATCCTGGCCAACATGGTGAAACCCTGTCTCTACTAAAAATACAAAAATATTAGCTGGGCGTGGCAGTGCATGCCTGTAATCCTAGCTACTCGGGAGGCTGAGGCAGGGGAATCCCTCGAACCAGGGAGTTGGAGGTTGCAGTGAGCTGAGATCGCACCACTGCACTCCAGCCTATTTGTAACAGAGGAAGACTCTGTCTCAAAAAAACAAAAAAAGAGAAATATATATATATATGTGTATATATGTTATAACATATATACACATATATTTATACATATATGTAGTCAGATTGTTTAAACTGAAATCCAGCTATGAATGTGTAAAATATAAAGTGAAATATGTTTTTTCTCATTTAAGAAAACAAATGCATTAGTTGAATCTCTCTCTCCTCTTTCGGAATCCCAGGCATCACACTTATCTAGACATCTCACTTATCAGAATTATGTTTCACACAGTGATACTTACATAAAGGATATAATGCATTCCATCTCCGTCCTCTTTCATAGCAATCTCATGTGCCAGTTTGTCATGTTTCTTATCACATTCTCTGCCCCAAAATGGCAAAGTAGCTACATGGATGATGACTATAAAAATAGGCAGGACCACCTCCTTTTTTTTATATTGAACCTTTTTTTCTAGGTTTTAAGGTTCTTTATGTCATATAAAGGTCTCTAAAAACATCAACTTATTTTCCCTGCCAAAGAGAAATGCCAAAGAAAAATTTGACTTTGATTCTCAATCTCAAAACTTAATATATTCATTTTTATAATTTATCATGAAGGATGCTGTCTGCTGAATTGGGACATCTTACATTAATTATTATTATTATTATTATTATACTTTAAGTTTTAGGGTACATGTGCACAATGTGCAGGTTAGTTACATATGTATACATGTGCCATGCTGGTGTGCTGCACCCATTAACTCGTCATTTAGCATTAGGTATATCTCCTAATGCTATCCCTCCCCCCTCCCCCCACCCCACAACAGTCCCCAGAGTGTGATGTTCCCCTTCCTATGTCTATGTGTTTTCATTGTTCAATTCCCATCTATGAGTGAGAACATGCAGTGTTTGGTTTTTTGTCCTTGCGATAGTTTACTGAGAATGACGATTTCCAATTTCATCCATGTCCCTACAAAGGACATGAACTCATCATTTTTTATGGCTGCATAGTATTCCATGGTGTATATGTGCCACATTTTCTTAATCCAGTCTATCATTGTTGGACATTTGGGTTGGTTCCAAGTCTTTGCTATTGTGAATAGTGCCGCAATAAACATACGTGTGCATGTGTCTTTATAGCAGCATGATTTATAGTCCTTTGGTTTGAGCCGTGGGGAACAACAGGCTTCTCTCCATCAGCTAACAAACACCTTGTAGGGGAGCTAAGCAGGGACAAAAGAAGTACAGGTCCACATTTCCTTCCTTATAATATGGAAATTCAAACTAAACATGCAGTGTCTGTGGCTCATTTGGTGACAAAAATTTGATCTTGACCTGAACTCACTTGTTAGGATAACCTGTTCTGAACTGGTTTAAGGCAATTTGTATCTTATCTATTCCACTTGGTGTGAATATTCACAATATTCAGTTTTTGCTGAAGAAATATGGATGTCTTTGATTATATGTTGTTATTCCAAACATGTATATACACACATATACACAAGTTTCTAAAAATTATAAAAAATACCTAGGTCCAAAACATATCTGGCCCTATGAGCTTTGGAAAAGTGGTTGTAAGGTCTCTATTAGATATTGTCCATGTCTTCAAGCCACTTGTAGTTTATTGAGATTCGTGACAGTAAACTCCACTCTCAAACAGAGAGTCAAAATAGTTATTGAAAGTCTAACAGTTGGCCGATATATACATATACATACATACGTACACACACATGCACGCACACACTATCCATGTTTTATATATATTATATATAGTATGGATTTTGTGGTACAGGAGAAAAGTAGTGTTAATGTAGAATAAGTCTAGTAATGTAAAATATTTCAGAGAGTAATAGAACTGGTTCTTTCTTTACTAAGTGTATTTGAATTTATTTCTTAATAAAATAAAGCAAAACCACAGCCAGTAAGAAAACCTCTGCATATATGCTGAAGGAAAATGTATATAAGGCAGTAAAATTTTCATGAGAGCCCTCCAACAAATGCATTTTTTTTCCTATGTAAAGGAAAGGTGTTTTGAAGATAGAGTTGTGTAATCAGTTTAGAGCAAAGAACTAAATAGAATTTATTGGCTTTCACTCTCGCCTTACTAGATCTGACTTTAGGCAAGTTACTTAAAATCTCTCAGCCTGCTTTATTGTCTATGAAATATTAATAATAAAAGTAGCCGCCATAGAGAGCTGTTAGAGGATGACATGGGATAGTGCATGTACTGGCGGGAGCCTGGCACAGAGGAGGTAGGCCGACTTCGCTCCTTATCTGGAAGCTGTTCCATCCAGGCCTAACAGATGATGTTTTTAGACTGTGGAATTCCACATAATTAATTCTTAGCTATTCAGGATCATTATTTTCATTGCATATTAGATTTCCCTTTGCTGGGCTAAATTGTTCCATAATCTTTTAAGATTTCATCTCTAATAACTAAAGTAGTTGTCTGGTGAAGAAGCCAACCTCAGCTGCTTTACGCTTTCAGTTTTATTAACCCGAAAGCCTCCAAGATGACTCTCATGAGACTTCCAGATTGAACCTTCAGAATTTTTCCAGAGAGTGGAGGAAACTGGAACTAAGTGGAATATGGCTATATAAATGTTCATCTGAGTGATTTTTGAGCTTTGAAAGAATATATACTTTATTATCCCTGATTTGTTTTTTAAAGTGTTTTATGAAACACTTGATGTGTTATTCATGGACTTAGAGGTGACTGAAACTTTTATAGCTGTTATTCATTCCAGGCATGAAGTGATCACACCTTTTGCCCTATTAGGATTGTACCACAGTAAGCAATAAGTTACAAAAACAGGGGATATATGGCAATGGGTGATATTCACAACTAGAAACTCCAACATATTTCTGCTAGATATAGTGAAGTCATACTAGTTTGAAGGAACTACTGATGTGACCAAGAATCTCTGCATGTGTTTAAATGGTTTATCTAAAAGGTAAGTGGAAGAGACGGTAGCAGGGCCTCATTATGACTTTCATGGACCCTAGACACTTCTAACTGCCTGGGCCTCTCCTTCCAATAGAAAGAGAAAGAGAATTATAAATTATAAAGGAGAAGCAGAGACAGAGAGAGTTACAAATTATATTCTGCCTTGGTATAAAGACTGGATTCATTATTATATATTCATTATTTTATATATACTATTCCTTGTATGTTGAGGCTGGATTCATTATTATATATTCATTATCTTTATATTTTTTCATTTCTAATTTAAAGACAAATTAGAACATTTTTGAACCTCTAAATGTAACATGTACCCTAGGCACTGTGCCTTCTGTGCCTGCCTAATGTGTAAGTCGGTCCCGGATACTAGGAGAAGTTTGCTAATCCTTTCTCTTAAAAGCCAGTTATGGTCAGATTCTGCCATATTCTGGGAACAAAGAGAGGGCACCACTGCAATCCCTGGATTTCTACAGGAGTGTCTTTCAGGCATAGAGTAGAGGCTTGGCTCATCCAACTACTGATTTCTTCAACAGAGAAAAAGAAAACTCAGCTTCAATATAGGCTGATAGATCCTGTCT
Source organism: Homo sapiens (assembly GCF_000001405.40). NCBI lineage: Eukaryota > Metazoa > Chordata > Mammalia > Primates > Hominidae > Homo > Homo sapiens. The sequence continues at coordinate 40,724,434 of NC_000012.12, forward strand.
TGACTTCCAACACAACTTAATTTCTGTCTGCCACTATCCTAGGCTATTGGATCTCCTGACTAGCAAAATAAAAATAAAAGAACTTAAAATTATTTCATTCTCCTTTCATTTGTGCTAGAAATATTTTGAAATAGATACATAAGTTTTTTGGAAGAACCTATCTCAATACTCAGTATTGAAAATGCACAGACTGTCCTCCGTGATCATGAGCAAACAGAAGAACACTTACTTTGGTTCAAAAGATAGTAATATTTAAAATAAGACAGTATAGATTTATACATTGTTTACTACAACACACGATAAAGGATTTTTGAATTTATTATGCTGGTATCGAAAATAAACCAAGGACATGCTTTTCCAATTAAGGTAGAATAAGAATCATGGATGAGAAAATACTCTGAAACAATGAGAGATTGTGTGGAATGAAAAGCACTATTGCTACATTTAAAACCTGAAAGAAAATAGAGATCATTGATGGAATTTTACCAAATCAGCCATGTAGATGACAAGTTCAGGAAATTCTCCTGGAACTCAGAAAAATATAAAGAGACCAAAATTACAAAAGACAAATGACATGTGACCAAGAAAGACTTGTTCCACTTACCTTGACTAAATTTGCTTCTTCCTAAGTCTCAGGCCCGTTACCTCCCTTTTCTATGGGATTTACCTTAGAAAACTTGTAATTGGGCCAGGTGTGGTGGCTCATGCCTGTAATCCCAGCACTTTGGGAGGCCAAGGCCGGTGGATCACCTGAGGTTGGGAGTTCGAGACCAGCCTGACCAACATGGAGAAACCCTGTCTCTGCTAAAGATACAAAATTAGCAGGGTGTGGTGGTGCATGCCTGTAATTCCAGCTACTCAGGAGGCTGAGGCAGGAGAATCACTTGAACCTGAGAGGCAGAGGTTGCGGTGAGCCGAGATCACACCATTGCACTCCAGCCTGGGCAACAAAAGTGAAACTCTGTCTCAAAAAAAAAAAAAAAAAAAAAAGGAAAGAAAAAAAAAGAAAATTTGTAATGGGAAATTTTTTCTCTTTTTCTCTATCCCTTTGAGATGTACATAAATCTTTTCCCAGCCCAGCCTCTAGCCAGTTTTACAATCCAGGAATGTCTTTCTCAAGGACCTGGGAGCCATCCCTTTGAAATATAATCATTAAGGAAGATAGTGCCCCTACCCCTATCTCTTAGTTTCTATAGGAGAGTAGAATCTAATTTCAACAAGTGCCAATTAGCAAACACAGTTGACCTAATCACGAGTCTCACCATAACATCCTTCAGTACATGTCCAACTAGCTCACCTCAGCTCTTAAAATCTCTCTCACTTATTGTTTTGGTGGAGTTGAGTCTAATCCCTTTCCACTATTGCAATAGTCTTGAGTAAAGTTTTTCTTTCCTGGTTAAATTTGGCTGGTACAATATTTCTTTGACACAAGGAGGCCAGAACTCTGAGATTACATAGGCGTTTAGTAGGCATTCAATTAAAAAAAAAAACAGCAAACAAGAGAAGCAATAATTTAAAATAGTGAGGAAAAAAATGTTTCATGAGTTCAAGGAAGTCTTGAGTCAGCATTTGTGTAGTAATAACTGATGAGAAGACATCAATACACAGGTATGGTAAAATATCTAACATTTCAAGAAAAATAAAACCTTTGTTTAATGACTAGGGAGGGGGAAAGAATGTGGCAAACAGAAGAAAATAAATTTTACCCACTCCAGAATTAGAATATAACTATTCTTTATTATTGCTGATGTGGTAAAAAGTAACACAAATATTAAAATATTTTAGGAAAATTAACATGTTAAAACAATTCAGAAACTATGTTCTGGTTTAAAATAGTACATATGAAGAAATTTGATAAAAAGGATGTATTAGTTCATTCTCACACTACTATGAAGAAGTACCACACACTGGGTAATTTATAAAGGAAAGAGGTTTCATTGACTCACAGTTCTGCATGGCTGGCAAGACCTCAGGAAACTTACAATCATTGTGGAAGACAAAGGAGAAGCAGGCACCTTCTTCACAGGGTGGCAGGATGGACTGAGTGCAAGCAGGGGAAATGCCAGGTGCTTATACAACCATCAGATCTCCTGAGACTCACTCACTATCCCCAGAAAAGTGTGGGGGAAACCACCACCATGATCCGATTACCTCCACCTGTTCCCACCCTTGACACATGGGGATTATAGGGATTACAATTGGAAGTGAGATTTGGGTGGGGAGGCAGAGCCAAACCATGTTAAGGGATAATTCAACAATTCTTTTCTTTTTATATTAATAATATCAATAAAAGATGTGAAATTTATTTCAAGTTTTAAAAAACTCTGTTGGAATAGAAATAGAATGTTTGCCTTCAAAATCAGTAGACAAACTAATAAAGGAAAATGAATTAAAATAAGTTAGCCATCACAATTTTCATAATGTATATTTTCTCTAAAATACTTATGTTTAAAATTCTCATGTTTTTTATTAGAATTTAAACATTATAATAAAATTAATTATGAAAAATCTAAATAAAATTAAATAAAAAATTCTAATCTGATTTTTAATCTAAAAAGTCTTTTATTATTAGAATTTAAAAATTCTAATAATAAAATTATTTCTTTAAAATACTTCCTCATGTTCTTTTTTATTATAATAATTAAAAATTTCTAATAATAAAAAAGAACATGAGGAAATATTTTTAAAATGCGTGATACACTATAATAAATGTGATGATTACACTTCTTCAAGGACAGTGTCAAAAAAGGAAAAACAATACAAAAATCAAAGACTCTAAGATTGGGGCAAAAAAAAATTCCGGATATATGCTATTTACAAGAGAAAAGTTTAAAAGTTTTTAGTCATTATGTTTAAAATGACATAAAGCTGTAAATAAAATGAGAAGAATGTCAGGCAAATATAATAGCAAATGAAAAGCAGAAATACTCAACAGAATTCAAAGCAAAGAGGATACATGGAATGTAGAGGATTCGTTTTATAAATGGTAAGAAAATGTACATCACAGATTAAAAAAAAAAAGAATGGTCCTGAATGAGCCAGAAAATGTACATGCAAATTTTAAGAACACTATTATAAATACAAGGAGATTCAAATGATAAATAATATAAACATATTGGATTTAAGTGATAGAACTAATAAGATTAACTTACATACTAAACTTGTAACTTATTTAGAAAAAACACTTTATTTTCAAATTTCCATGTAGCCAAACAAAATCAATCCTATATTAGGCCATAGACAAATTGTTGAAAAATTCTAAAAAGCAAAAACTACGCATGCTACACCCTTTGTCTATAAAATACATATAGGATATTTATTAAAAATCCTAACATAAAAATATGCACTGAATTTGATAGGCCTTCCCAGATGCAAGTGATTTATTAAGGAAATATACTTAGGACAAATCTGTAAGTAAGGGAAATAGAATAATGCATTTGAGTGGGATGAGAGACTGAAGTCTAGTCTCAGTCACTCCCAGTGTAAACACACATCCAAATGACCCTGTAGAGGTGTCCGCCCTCAGGCAGAGCAGCAGGGCTTGGCTGGTGTGTCATGCCCAGAGTAAAGCAGATCTTCTTAGGCCAGGACAGTTTCCCAGAGAAGAGTGCAGCTATGTGGTCACAGTAGCTGGGAGACATTCATACTGATTAGTAAAAAAGGATTCCGGGTTGAGGACTGACATCAACAACAGCCATGCTTTCAATTAACATTAATTTTAGCAGCTAGAAGGAGAAAACATAATGAAAGTAGTATAAGTAAGAAAAGGCTTTGTTTTTTTCATGAAACAGGAAGTCCAGAGGCAGGCAGTTTAGATCTGTGCATTAACTCCAGGACATTCTTAAGTATCTCTGCTTTTTCTCCCTGCCTGTCCCGCTCCATAGTATCCTAAGCGTGTGGTTTCATTCTCATGTTGAAGATGACTGCTAAGCCTTTGGGCAAGTGACCATATCCAGGCAGGAACAAGGGGAAGGGTAGAGGACCTAAAAAAAGGCAACTAGTAGTAAGCTCTGTAAGACTTCTTCCAGAGCTCTCCTGGAAATACTACCTAGCGACTTCTGTTAATATCTCACTGGGTAGAACTAGACCCTACTTGTAAGGACTTGGCAAAAATGTTGGCTATCCACATTCTATAGGAAAGGAAGGCAGATGAGAAGTGGGATTTGGAATGGCTCTAAACACCAACAATGTTTACCAAATCAAACCATTTTACATTTGAGATAAATGACTCTCTTAATTAACTCTTAGGAAAATAGTCACTTTTACAATTTTATCATGCTTAGAAAATAACAGAGATTAAAAAGTACATATAAAATGATGCACAAGCGTCCTCCTCCTCCTCTTTCCGGGTGAGTGCTCCCCCAGTAGGCAGGCAGCATGGTGGCCAAGGAGACAGGTGGCTGGAGTCCCCAGGTCAATCTCTATTGTCCTACCTGCATCAACTGGGCATCCAAGGCTTGTAATTCTGCTCACAGAATATTTCAAAGAAAATTGAGCTGCTCACAAATTATTACATAAGAAAGCAAAAGATGAAAAGGAAAAGCAAGAAGTGTCTTTCTGGACTGTAGAAGGTGATATTAACACTGACCCGTGGGCCAGTGTTAATATCCATACACTGGTAAACTTAGGCCACATTATCCACTGATGACAACAAGACTGGTGCCAAGTTATAGGCAAAGATGATTTTACTGATCATTCCTTGGGAATGTCTGAATCTGAACAGGCTCTTAAAGATACTTCTCAAGTTAAATTTTTCTGATCTGAAGATCAAAAGGGATGCGACTTGTATCTAAGCTGCTAGAGAAGTGTTGAATATTGCTGCTGGGCTGGTTAAGCCAGGTGTAACTGCTGAAGGAACAGACCATGCTGTACACTTAGAATGCATTGCAAGAAATTGTTATCCTTCTCCTCTGAATTATTATACTTTCCCACAGAATTCCAGACAGTCCTTGGAAGAAGGTGATATTGTTAATGTCGACATCACTCTTTATTGCATTGGTTATGATGGGGACATGATTAAGACATATTTTATTGGCAGTGTGGATGAGGATGCACGGAAATTTGTTCAGACCACGTATGAGTGCCTCATGCAAGCCATCAATGCAGTGAAACCTGGTGTTTGATACAGAGAATTGGGAAACATATTTCAGAAGCCTGCCCAAGCAAATGAATTTTCAGTTGTTTGAAGCTATTGCGAGCATGGAGTCCACAAACTTTTTCATACAGCTCCCAATGCACTCCATTGTGCCTAAAATAAAGCAGTTGGTGTGATACAATCAAGCCATGTATTTACAGTTGAGCCAATGATTTGTGAAGGTGGATGGCAGGATGAATCCTAGCCAGAAGGTTGGACTGCAGTGAGGAGACAGCTCGGTTCCACTATTCCTTGCTGGTCACAGACACTGGCTGTGAAATGCTAACCTGGCAACTTGATAGTGAATAGCCTCACTACATATCCCAACTTTAATTTCTTCCAAAATAGCACATCTCAATAGTACCTTCTTACTGTACTATGCATTTTTGGGGGAGTAGAGAAAGGAAGGGGACATTTTTTATCATTTGTTTTGTTTTGACCAAAGGTAAGAAAGGACTATAGCAATTTCATATGTGTCCTCAAGAACTTGTTTTGAGTCTAAAAAAGCTGAGAAGATTAAAGGAAACATTGCTCAACTCCTTTCAGTGCTGTCCCCTCCCTCTAAATCTTTCTACACACCCATTTTCTCATTATCAGGCTTTTTAAAGTTTAGATTATGGCAAAAGTAGCCATGCTCCCAGTGGTGGCTGACTGTTGCAGGGCATGAGAATTTTGTAGTACACTGCTATGCCAAACCGCTAGTTGGTCAGAAATGGGAGGGGCAAAGCCCCTTTTCTTCTCTTCTTTATTTTATTTCAAGGGCATACCTTGGAGATTCTCAGAGAAGGGTGGACGGTGCACTGTGGAGGATGATGGGGAAAGAGTTCTAAAGTGTCTCCAGCTGTGAGCACAGTGAGTCAAGTGTGCTGTTAGATTCTGTTTAGTAAACCTGATGGTGACTATAGCAGGGATGTAACTGTCCATGGTATCCTGAAAACACACCTCACCTTTACATAGTTGAGAACCTCATTAGAAATGACCTCAGTTGCCCAATATCTATGTTCCTTTTGACAGTTGTCCAAATAGGAATGTATCCAATGACTACACATCAGATCCTAAAGTCATTGTCATTATTAGAGTGGACTTAATTAATGGGTATTTGCTAACTTTCATGTAATATAATTTCATACCACTGACATGTTATATCATAGTTGTAAGAGAATATCTTTTCCAGAGTGTCTGAGGCCTTATTGTTTTAAAATAGTTATAATAACATTTCCATTGCTTTTATTATTTTATTGATTTAGTAAAGTGACTATATCTGGTTTCAATTTGGGGGAGTATGTGTGTGAAGTTTTCATCAATCTGTAATATTTGTGATGGAATGCCTTGCAATGTAAACGTTAATATAATGTGTAGAATGAGATGTAAAAGTTTAAATGACTATCAAAAAAGATATTATGCAACGGGCATAGTAAAGCCTGAAAATAAGTAAACTAACAATTAAACAAACTAAGCATTAGAAAAAAAGAGTAAAAATATATACTTGAGGAGAGTAAAGAAGAAAAAAGTCACCAAAAACAAAAGTTTAAATTTAAAAATTGGGATAAAAATGGGAAATGCCATTTTTAATTTAATATTTGTTCTTTGACAAGGTCATTAAAATAGACCAATCCTTGGCAAGACATATAGGAAAACAAAGGAGAAAAGAAATGTATAATGTTAGAAATGGTGGTGGGAGGGATATAACAACATATTTTGGGTGTTTTTTCCCTTAACAATAAAGCAAATACTATGACAATTCTATATTTTTTAAAGAGGCCAAACAGGAATGAATTACAAACTTTTTAGTAAACCATAAATGACTAAAATTGATTTGACAGATAATATAAAACCATGGGGAAAATGGATAAAGCAACCGTTAATTTTCAAAACACCATTGGTCAAATTGAAATGGAAACAACAGTCTGAGCAAAAAATCCTCAGCACAATTTAAAAATATAAATTTCAAAAGTTTTTTAAAATGTACATATTCTTTAGATATTTTGCTCGCAGGGATTTTTATTGGGGAAAGAATGAAAAGATATACATAAAGATTGATGTGACCAAGTATGCAATATACCATAGTTTATTAGCACTACTTGTTATAGAAAGTATTGATAATAATTTCAGTATTCAACTGCAGAAAATTAATATATTCCATACAATGGAATATATTAATTAGGTTGAACTGTATCAAATTGCCACTATTGACCATTTCTAATCAACAAAAACAGTGAATTCAAACCTAATAAATACACACAAATACATATTTAAATATCCCAGTAATTTAACTGTGGTTATCTCTGACTGGGGCTCTTTTGGGTGATTTAAACAGTCTAATTAGATTCTAATACAGGAACAAAATAAGCACATAACATGCATGTATTACTTTATAATATTTCACTAAATTATGAACTCTTGGGGAACAGGCATTTGGTTTTGGTAATCATTACATTCTTGGTGCAGAAGGAAATCTGAAAATATTTGTTGAATCAATGACTGAAAAAATATTTGTACTATAAAATAGGAAATGTTAAATTGCAAATGAGAAAAGCTAGAGAAATTGCTCATTAAACCATTTGCCTCACCGTATGGAAGGGTCAGAGCAATTTTAAGCCTATAGTGCTTAATTTAGGCAGTAATTTTTCTGCAAAGTATTCAGTATGTATAGTATCTGATAATGTTATGTCTATTTTCTAGCTATCTTTGAAAACATCTTATTAAATTTCATAAATTTAACATGTGGAGAACTAAGGAAAATTCCAATGATAAATGGGGACATTCAACATTAAGAGAACATTCCCGCATAAAAGTTTGGAACAGAACTGCAGCATAATATTTTAATTTATCATAATGATTTATGAAATTACATCAAATACATTTTACTGTCTCATTATCCAAAATTCTCAAATTTCAAAAATGAAATATTTGAAGATGTCAAATAATTATGTAGACCATGCTGACAGTCTGCCAGGAAACCTTCATTGCAGAATTGTAGTTGAGTTGTTTTCTCCTCTAGTGCATAGAGGGGAATGAGAAACCACTAACTGTGATGGTCTTTAATGTCATGCAAAAGAACATTGAAATCCATATTTGCTCAGAAATCCTATTAGTGTCTCTATTGAGGAAACCTCAAAGAAAAGCACTGAAGTGTTAATGATTTGCCTACAGAATTTTTTGTCCAAATGTTTGGATAAGCTGACAGGAATTAATTCTATAAAAATCCTTTCTTTCAAATTATTTCACTAATATAAAACTCCCTAATCCAGTAGCATTCTTTGACATTTTTCTTAATATCAAAATGCTAATTTTGCCTACATAATATTAATAAATGAAGCAGGCATTTTTTATTACTCTCTCTCCTTACTCATAGGGTTGGTGTATATTTTAATTAGCTGCAAAAGTTACAACTGCCTTGTTATTTTTACTAGAAAATTTATTCTTGTAGTCACCTAATGGATATGATAATCAGTACGGAGCCTAGAAGCTTCTGCATTCTGTTTATAAAAGAGACACAGTTCCTGGGTATGAATTTGGGCTCTGAGTGGAGACAGGTAAACCAGGAGAGAATATTTATAAACACAGTAAGTAGATGTATTTGGTTATAATATTTTGTTGGCTGATGTTACACTTGATTTGCAGTTTTCAAAATACAAAATACAGTGCCCTTAAAATACAATGTTGCCTCCTAACGAAAAGCTTATAAACCTGAATAAGGCTATATTTTTTTTGCTTATTTTTTTTGGTCACAAACAAATAGCTTAAAAATGATGGCTGAAATACGCATTCTAGATGTGGATTCCTTATGTTAAAAGTCAGATTTTTTTTCATAAATTAAAATATATTCAGTGGCAAAATTTGACAGCACAATGTGGGGTTCATATTTTTACTATCAAGCTATTATTCTCAAAAGTGTTCAGGTAAGGAGGTCTTCCTGCCCTCCCCCTTCCCCTGCCAGAGGAAGAGGTACAAGAGATTTTTGGCATCATGAGATAAAGAAAGGCAGCAGGCTTAAAAAGCAACTAAAGGACTTGATTGTGAGGAATTCTTTATTCCCAGTAGTGTTTGTTCAACGTTGAACTAGGAAGGGATTGCAGAATATTTCCAATTTGATAAAAAAAAGTATATAATACATTCTAAATATTTTATATTTAAAAAGAATAAATATTCTTTCTTGTCTTTTTACATTTATCTCTACTGCCACACAGCTCCATTTAATGGAATTTAGAAAGTTTGTCTCTGAAAGAGTACAGTCTTCAATTGATCCTCACGTTTGTCAAGAACACTGATGCTTGATTTGATTGCAGCTCCAGCAGTTAAAGGAGTGTTCATTTCATGATCAAGTAGCCTGAAAACACTTCTTTAAAATGAATGTTTCTTTTATATTTGGTGATTCACTGCTCACCAGGGTCTCTGTTCCTGGGTTTTCCCTGCAACTCTCCTTCTGACATTTCCATTAAACTGTAAAAAGTAAGTGTTGACTGATTAACATCTTAAGAGCTCTGTAAAAAGCCATATTCATGAATCAAAGTCAGTGTGCCCCACTGGTAATTAACTTGACAAAATTCAGCTTTCCAAGCTAATCATCCTCTGGCTGCTTTATGTAATTGCTGTCAATTCAGATCTACAAAACAATTGGAGTCCACTAAAAGGCAGAGAGAGCATAAGAACTAATGATTAGGCCAAGTTCTCTAGCTGAGAACATATTCTGATTAAAATGCTGGAGTATAATGAGGAAACAGAAACATTCAAAATGTTGACTTGAGGGTTCCACATTTATAATTATATGAAAACAGCCTATTTAAGATCAAACTAATGGTAAGGGTTAAGTGGTGAGATTCAATGTAATAAATATCCTAGGGTTTACCACATAAAAGTTACTGAGCAAGACCCTGAAAAGGCAGTAGACCTTTAGGGCACAGCAGGGCATCGTGGATGAAGAGCACTGCTTCTGCACTGAGACATTTAAATACTGGCCTTTGGCTAGTTGTGTGATTTGGGACAAACTGCTCAGCTTCATTCAGCCCACATTTTCTCATTAGGAAAATAGAAAAAATGATTTTACTTAGCTTATACATTTAAGGATTAATGCAAATAATGACTTAATCTGTTACCCGGAATTTCGTAGATGACAAATAACTATCACATATTCTATTATCATTACAATTTATCACTAAGGGAAAAGTCAAGTATGCAAATTAATATAACATAATAAGCATGCTAAGAAAAATACAGATGAAATTGCCCATTGTATTTACAAATGGAGAACCAACATCTGGGTCAGGAAACCTTGAAGGAAGAGAAATTGATTTTGGAGGTGTTTTCTCACAAGAAGTATAATTTATCAACTAAGTTGAGAAGATTTATTTCAGTAAAGTTAGAGCAAAGTCATTCATCAGGAAAAGCATGATGTGCAACAGAGGAACAGTAAAACAATCATTTTACTAGGCATACGATTTTATGATAGTGTAAAAGAAGATTATACTGCAAAGAAGGGTTGGATAACTATTGTGGGTTGACTATTTAAATCATCATTGTTGAATGTTTCAAAGGATATTTTGTTCATTCCTTAAAGACCAGAATATTTCAATACCAAAGAGTTCCACAGAACCAAAACAGGCTTTCTCTCCCCATAAACTCTCAGTAGACATATATTCAATAATTAAAGCTATGTATACTTTCTTAGATTAAAATGACTAGCTTTTATGGAAGTCAATTTAGTACTCTTATTTAGAAGTGACAAGAAACTTCAAACAATGTAAGAAGATTCCTCAAAATACACATTTGGTACACACAAAGAAAGAAACGTAACTAGAATATTTTAAATATTATTAAAAGCCTATATTTGTTTGGCTAAGGCAATGGGCGTCGTTCCCACGGAAAAATCACCTATAGAGTTTATCAAATTAAACATCTCTTGGGCTGAGTCTTAAAAATTCTGATTTCATTTGTTTAGAGTGAAGCTCAAAGCATCAGTAATTTTCAAAGATATAAGGGAATCCTAACTGTGAGAAAGGAGACCAAAGATACTTCCTCTTTCTCTCCTCTGAAATCATGTAAACAAGAATAACAAGAAAAATGTAAACCATGTTTTTGACAAAAATAGGGATATCTATAATCTTGAATCACAATTTAAGATGAAGAGCTGTCAAATGCAATAAATATCAAATCAGCGTGCAGGAAGATACTGACAGAGGGCATATGCAGTTACATATCTCAGACACAGCCAGCCAAATGCAAACATTTTCCAGAACATTGGGGGATGCTAAAGAGGAAAATCTACAGTCCTCGGTTTGAGTCAATAGAAACAACATGTTTGAGCTGGCTGTAGAAACTCTCCTGTCCACCATTTGTTACTAAAGAGAGGTGGGGGAGGTAGGTCTCATTGAGGAAATCACATTGCTTGCCATCTTTGCTGGAAGAGACATGTGGAATAAGCAGAGGAGAAAACATCTATTGTGATTACCCTGCAGCTGTCTCAGAAAGATGGGGCAAGACATGCTGGCCTCATACAAACATCCAATCCCCAGGGTAAGCTGAAGGAAAAGGCAGCACTCTGTGAGCCAGGGCCAGTTTCTCTTAAATAGACCACTATTCGGACACACACAGACACACATACAGAATCAATCAATCAAACATGAGCACTTGGAAGTGTAAAAGGTATATAAATTATAATGAAGATCTGGCAGTCATTAATACATAGGCACAAGTAAAATGGACAGAAATATAGTAATACAATATTCTAATTTATATAGGATATTCTAATTTATCTCTCAGACCACGGCAAACAAATAGACCAAAAGTAATGCATAGATCTTAATAATATAAGTATAAGATATGGTTTAAGAAGCTCTTGCAATATTCACATGAGAAAAAAAATAATAGATTAGAAAGAAATCGCTAACATATTTCCCAAAGGAAAAGAATTAGCTTCACTGATCACAGTGAAATAAGTGGCTCTCACAAGTGGCTTTTGGGTTAAAGATGAAGTTCAGAGCAAAAGAGCAGATTACTTGGAAAGTAAATATAATAAAGCATTATATATGAAGACCTATGGTATACAATTTAGTCACAGTAACTAGAGACAAGTTCCTAGCCACAACCACTTGCATTGATAAAGAATGAAAATAAATAATTTCGGTAACTAACTCACACATAATAAAATAAGTTAAACAAATGAAAATATTTAATAATTTAAAGCAGAAAGTAATGTCTTAGAGAACAGACAAAACAGAGCTAATAAATCAACCCAATAACTGGGTCTTAAACAAACAAACAAAGGAAAAACAATGGCTAACCTAATCAGGACGCTGATGGTGAAAGCACAAATACATTAAGAATTGGAAATGGGAAAATATCTCAAAGGCAGAAGACATTAAAAGAATTGCATAAGGTTAGTTTTTTCAACATTATAAAAATAAATTTTAAATCCTACACGAAATCAGTATTTTTCTAGGAAAATAGAAATGAGTGAAACTGATCCTTGAGAACACAGACCAATTGCTAAAGAAAAAAATTCAAAAACTTTATCATGGAGATATTCCCCCTTCCAAATCAGTATAAATCCAGATTGATTGGTGGATTTTATATATAAATTTTTTATCTTCAAATAGTTTGAAGCACTACAAGAAACAGATGCTTGTAGCACTTCAAGCTATTTGAAAAGATAGGAAAATAAATATTTACACTTGTATTAGTCAGGGTTCTCTAGAGGGACAGAACTAATAGGATATATATGTGTGTGTGTGTGTGTGTGTATATACACATATACATGGGAGTGTGTGTGTGTGTGTGTATATATGTGTGTGTGTATATATATATATATATATATATGAGTTTATTAAGTATTAATTTACATGATAGCAAGGTCCCACAGTAGGCTGTCTGCAAGCTGAGGAGCAAGGAGAGCCAGTCTGAGTCCCAAAACTGAAGAACCTGGAGTCCGATGTTCAAGGACAGGAAGCATTCAGCATGGGAGAAAGACGTAGGCTGGGAGGCTAGGCCAGTCTCTCCTTTCACTTTTTTCTGCCTGCTTTATATTCGCCGGCAGCTGAGTAGATTGCACCCACCAGATTAAGGGTGGGTTTGCCTTCCCCAGTCCACTGACTCAAATGTTAATCTACTTTGGCAGCAACCTCACAGACACACCCAGGATTAATACTTTGTATCTTTCAATCCAATCAAGTTGACACTCAGTATTAACCATCACACAATTATATTTTCTAATCTAGCATTACATTACTACCAAAATCTGACAAATTAAAAAGATATATAGACAATAGAACTTGAAACAAAGATCAAAATAAAAGACTAGCAACTAGAATGAAACATCACAAATAAAGAGTAATATACCACCACTAAGTGTGGCTTACTCTAGGAACTCTAATATGGTTCTGTATTGAGGCATCATATTAAGAGATCATAAGAGAAAAATCAAATATTTAAATACATAGAGACTGAAATTATTTGCATAATTCAGCATATATTCTGTATTTTTAGAAACTTTTAATAAGATAGTAATAGGCTTGTGTATTCTTAATAAATAATCTATAAATCCCAAAGTGATTTTGAAGAACAAGTGAAGGGGAACTGCTGTATCACATACCAAATTTAGCATAATTTCATAATAATATGATATTTGTTCAGAGTGTACAATGTTGAACAAAACATAGAGCTCGGAAACTTATATTGATGTCATTATATGGATACACCAACTAGTGCGGGAAAAGAAAACTATTCCACAAATGGCACTGGGAAAATTGCTGTTTTATTTTGGGAGATGGGGCAGAAATTTTTACTTCATACTAATAAAATCAAGTCCATTAGAATTTTGAAGGGTAAAAAAAATTTAATCTTTAGAAAAACAATTTATGAAAATATGTGGGTGACTTTTGTGTTGTGAAGCATTTCTTAAACAAATTACAGAAAGCAAAAGGGAAAGATTAAAAATGTAAAGCTTCATTTTGACAAAGGACATCATTAAATACAGTTTGAAGTCAAGCCATAAACTAGCGAAAGTAATATACAAGACCTACAATTGAAAAGGAACCACAAACAAGATATAAAAATTTTATAACTCAGTAACTGAGAGATAAATGACCCGTTAATAAAGGGTCAAATATTGTGAACAGGCATATCAGAGAAGAGAAAATCTCAATAGTCAATAAATACATGAAATGAGGCTCCATGGCACTAACAGTCAAAGAAATGCAAAATAAAACTACAGAGATTTAATGTTTTGTGTCTACCAAATTTGCAAAAATTAAAAAGCATAGCAGTGGAGAGTTGTACCTGTAGTCGATGGGATTTTGAACTAGTAAAAGCACTCTGGAGCTCAATCTGGCAATATTTAGTACCATAGAAGATTCATAGGTTCACAGAAGATTCATAGATTCAACCTAGCAACTTCACTTCTAAAAATATATGCTGGAGAAGAACAGTGGTTCTTAACCTTGGGTGCACATGACAGTCATACCAGTACCCAGGCTGCACTACAAACCAGTTAAATCAGAAATACCAGAGACATTTTTCTGGCATCAGTATGTTATAAAGCTCCTCAGGGGATTCTAGTGTGCAGTGGAGCTTAAGAACCCATGTAGGAGACTCTCTCACAAATACCTAAGAAAAATGAGAAGAAATCTATGAGCATATTAATTTTAATCTTGTTTGTAGTAATGAAAAACTGCATTTCAAATGAGTAAAAAACTTGGATAGTCAATAAGGATAAATCTCAAAATCTCAGCATTTAGTTTAAAAAGCTAGTTGCAGAATGAAACATATTGTACCATTTATATAAGATTTGAAGGCATGCAAAACAATCCTCTAAAATGTTCTTGATCACATAATGTGCAGCGTTTTGAAATGTGTAAGAATGATTAAAAAACAATTTCAGGATATTTCTAGACCTCAGGCATAAGGATGTCAGATTTAGCAAATAAAAATACATTCAAATTGTATATCATATGAGACATACTTATACTAAATATTTATTCATTGTTTATCTGAAATTCAAACTTAACAGGGAGTCTTGCATTTTATATGGCAATCCCACTTGGGAGGGGATCTGGAAAGGTAAACAGAGGCTTCAGCCATATCTGTAATGTTTTATTTCTTTAAGAAATAATTGAAACAAGTATGGTCAAATGCTAGAGTTTGACAGAGGTTGTTTACTACAGGGGTAACTTATATTTTTCTGTGTCCTTGAAATACTATTATAAACATATTTTAAGGAAAATACAAGGAAAGAACAGACCTCAGTTGTAGTAACAATACAAAGGAGAAACCATATTGAAATAAACATTAGTAAATGTCCAAGATCAATAAGAAGAAAACATATTACACTACCAAGGATTAGAAAGGAGGATATGAATAGACAGACATGCCATATCTTGCTTTTGGATTGTTAGACTTTACAGTGTAAAGAAATCTGAGCTTCCTCTGTTAGTCCATACATTCAATAAATTCCCCTCAAAAATTCAACATAAATTCTTATGAACTACACAAAATAATGGATTCTAAACTCATAAGGGTAAATAAATTCACAAGATCTGCCAGATAAATCTGAGTGATGAAAAATAAAGGGTAGATAACTCAACCTTGTAATGAAACATGTTATAAATCTACTGTAATTAAAACAGAGGAGTATGTAAATAATCATAGTTACATTTGAGCTGAAGTTGTGACCTTTGATTTGGATGGCTATAGAAGTAAAATTGTGTCAATCATTGCAAAATGCAGATTTACCCCAGTATATTTTAAAATCTATGCCATCCTCCTTATCTTTTTACTTTTTGCCCCAATTCAGATTTATGTCACCTTTCTTCTGGAAATTATAGTAACTCTAACTGCTGTTCATACTTACAGTATTTTCTTCTTCAAGTTTCTCCTAAAACCTTAGCCAAAATGATTGATCATAAACACAAAATGTGTCAACTCCTTACATAAAATAGTTTAATGCCTCTTCATTGCATCCTTGGCAAATGTCAGGCATGGTAACATGGAATAAAAGACAATTTAGGGCCCAGCCTTGGCCTCCCTCTTCAGCCTCATCTCTAGCACTGAAATAACTCTGAGAGCTTCCTCTTGTCCCCTCCTGATATGGTTTTATTGTGTCCCCACCCAAATCTCATCTTGAATTGTAGCTTCCATAATCCCCACATGCTGTGGGAGGGACCCAGTGGGAGGTAATTGAATTATGGGGGTGGGTTTTCCCATGTTGTTCTCGTGATACTGAATAAGTCTCACAAGATTTGATGGTTTTATAAAGGGCAGTTCCCCTGCACACACTCTCTTGCCTGCCGCCATGTAAGATGTGCTTTTGCTCTTCCTTTGCCTTCCACCCTGATTGTGAGGCCTCCCCAGCCATGTGGAACTGTGAAGTCATTATACCTCTTTTTCCTTATCAATTATTCAGTCTTGGGTATTTCTTCTTAGCAGTATGAAAATGGACTAATACCCCTCCTATACACCTGGCCATTTCTCACTGCCTGGAACTTTTACCTTTTTGCACTCATTTCCTAGCATCCTATATATATAATTGATGGTTAGTAAATGAAGTGACCTATGGAATATCCACTGAAGTCTTTTCAATAAACAATTGCATACATGCCCAAACAATTGATATTTAAAATAGACAAAAAACAATAAACTTCCTGGGATAGCAAGCTGGACAGATATTTCTAGTTTTATTGACTATGTCCTTACACTGGTTTATTTACTTCACTTTAAATCAGCTTTAATAAATCTGTTTTTTGATATCAGTTAAATGTAGAAGAATCAAACCATAATCCGTATTTCTTCATTTTACAATGGTGGTTCCAAGAAAAACTCTAATGAGGAAGCTTCCCTCATCTTTTTGATCCATCCCTTTTTCTTCCTATATATGCTCTATAAATTATCATACACCACAAAAAGAAATAAAAGTGATAAACTAAAACAATGGGTTTAATTAGAAATAATCTGATCATTTAACTTTAATTACAAGGCTATTGGTGTATTTAAATTTCATTTTAAATGACATCTATTGAGCAACTATTTGCACCGGATATTATAAATATCAACTTAATACTTGAAATAGTATGTGCATTAGGCATTAATTCTATTTTACAGATGATGAAATGTGACATTGAGTTACCACTAGTAAATGCCAAATCTCAGAGAAGTAGACATTATATCATTTCACTTCAGACTTATTTTCCTTGATACAAGTATTTATCCTATTTTTACTTATCTTTTGTGATGGATATTTACAAATAACAACTATTATTAGATGAAATAAATTTTAATGGAAAATTTTTGAAAATTCTAGAAATGAATTCATAATGTATTATCATTTCTAATTGAATACATTTGAACTTGCTATTATGTTTTTTTATTTTTTCTTTGAGAAGCAGAATTTATTTTCCTTTCTTTCCCTCTTTACTGTAGGGGGAAAAAGTCTAAGCTTTCAAAACTTCCAAGAGTTTTGTATATATATTCTGAAGAAATGAGACAAAACTCCTTCTATTTATAATAGGGCTTTTTCTCAAGTCAGACAAACTGACCCAATAATATCACATTACAGTGGGATTTTGGCCTAAAGTACTTAAAATATAACCCGTGTAACCTAGCCACAACTGAATGAAGCCAATAATGCTCTCCTACTGTTCAATGATAAAAAGAACTTCAGGAAAGTTTCATTTATCCTGCTCTTTCACTGTTCAGCAAGGTGACTGCCAAGTTGAGTTTACAATAGCTTAAATGGGCTAAAACTAAAAGCATTTGGTAGAGTGGTATTTCACCATAGTAGTTCTTGTGCTCAACAGCTGAACTGAATTTACACGAAAAGGGAAGGAGGAAAATGGTTTGTCTTTTTTTGCAGAGAATTCTATCCAAATTCACTTGCATTTAATTACTTCATATTTTGGAAATGACATTTTCAAGTGAGTAAAGTTTGTCTTTGCTGCTTTTCAACTCTTTCATCTTTCTTCTTTAAGTGTATATTTTTAATTTAATTTTTTTTTTTTCTGTGAGACAGAGTTTCAGTCTGTTGCCCAGGCTAGAGTGCCATGGTGTGATCATAGCTCACTGCAGCCTCAAACTTCTGGACTCAAGCAATCTTCCCTAATTTCTATATCTTGTCTTCTCTCATGTCCTTTGACTTCTATTCCTAGAGACCTGTCAGCCTTTGCTATTAATTCTCTTATAAGGCCTTATAAGCAATCAGTTTTCAGTCCTTAAAAAGTGATTCATGGTGCTATGATAATTTTCCTCCTCAATCATTAATCAAATATGCCAGGCACTGAGTGAAGCATTAGCATATGGTGGATGAGCAACTAATATTGGATGAGACAATGATACAATAATGAGTAAGACCCAATCCCTACTCTGGATGAGATTATTATTAAGTAAGCAAGATGGAATAGCCAGTAATTAAATTCTGTTACCTTACAGTAGGTAATGAGTTAAATATATGAAAACTGTATTATGGGAATGCGGCGAGCAGGACAAATTATTCTGCAGGTTGAGGCCGGGGGAATGGGAGGCTTCATTAAAGAAGAAATGTCTGAGTCTTGTTGTGAAGGATGTCTAGGGAGAATAATTGGGACAGTTTTCTAACCAGTTGAGGTATTCACAAGCAATGGGGTTGGGCAAGGACCAGTTGTGTCCTGAGTCTTTCTATTGAGTTTGGAACGAACACAAGGTGTGGGGCGGGAGTGACAAGTGATAAACTTGGACAGTTAGACTTGCTCTAGACATTCAAGGACTTTCTTTGTGATGCTATTGAGTTTGAATGTAATCATGTGGGCAATGCAAGACAAAATAATTTTAAAAAAAATTGCAATGAGTGACATAGAGGCAGGGAGATTGTTGGAATAGTTAAGGTTGCCAGCTCTGCCACATACTAGCTGTGTTATGAAATTACTTATCTTTTTGTACATCAGTTTTGTCAACAATATGGTGCTAATACATATGACTGGTGTAAAGATTAAATTAGGTAACAAAGGCTAAGTATTTAGAATGGGTGTTTAGGAAAAAACAAAACATGTTTCTTGGCCACATAAATGTCTTCTTTTGAGAAGTGTTTGTTTATGTCCTTTGCCCACTTTGTAATGGGTTGTTTTGTTTTTTTTCTTGTAAATTTTTTTAAGCTCCTTGTAGATTCTGGATATTAGATAGATTGCAAAAATATTCTCCCATTTTGTAGGTTGTCTGTTTGCTTTAATGATAGTTTGTTTTGCTGTGCAGAGTTCTTTAGTTTAATTAAGTCCCATTTATTAATTTTTGCTTTGGTTGCAATTGCTTTTGATGTTTTCATCATGAAATCTTTGCCTGTGCCTATGTCCTGAATGGTATTGCCTAGATTTTCTTCTAGGGTTGTTACAGTTTTGGGTTTCACATATATGCCATGGAACACTACGCAGCCATGAAAAAGAATGGGATCATGTCCTTTGCAGGGACATGGATGGAGCCAGAAGCCATTATCCTCAGCAAACTAACACAGCAACAGAAAACCAAACACCACATGTTTTCACTTATAAGTGGAAGCTGAACAATGAGAACACATGGACACAAGGAGGGGAACAATACACACTGGGGCCTGTCAGTAGCAGGGGTAGAGGGAGGGAAAGCATCAGGTTAAATAGCAAATGCATGTGGGACTTAATACCTAGGCGATGGGTTGATAGGTGCAGCAAACCACCATGACACACATTTACCTATGTAACAAACTTGCACGTCCTGCACATGTATCCTGGAACTTTAAATTAAATTAAATAAAAAAAAAATAAAAGAACAAAACAAAACACGGAGATGAATGCATGAAGGGAATGAGGGTGGAAAAGATCCATCAATTTCAGTAGATTTCTGGAATGGAATAGCCTGCATTTGGGAACTGGTGTGTTGTGATGGGAAAGGTAGAGAAAGAAGTGAAATTTGCGCTGAGGTTTTCTAGCATGGTAGCATAAAATGCTACAGAGGGCCACAGGTGATTGAAGGAATTCCTGTTAACATTTTTGTACAAAAGATGCTACAAATCTTTGCAAGAAACTGCTGTATCTTTCAGTTGATATTAGAATACATAGGACTGAAACTTAGAATAGAAGTAGTAGTTAGAAAAGAAATATTTGGGAACTAAGGGCGTAAAAGACAGCTGTTAAAGGCATTCAGGTTGAACGTGTGGATTAAAAGGTGGAAAGAATTGTTTGTTACAGCAGTTTTTAAGGATGACCAGAGGAGAAATTGCTAATGATAGATTCATAGATATATTGGGAAGGGAGATCTTTTGGTGCAAGAACTTCTCATGGAGGCGTTTAACACCTATGTTACATATCAGGAAAATAAAATTACTGTTTTGGAGAACATTTGGAAAAATAATCATATTTATTTTATGTGTTTATTTTCAGCCCTTTGTTTCCTAAACAAATGTTTCCTTACATGTTTGTGATTGGACTGTAGCAATGTATAATCTGCTTCATTCACTTAATATTTGATGCGATCCATATTGTCACATAATCTTCATAATCACCGTATTTAGCAGCTATAAAAAGCCCATATTGAATTGCACCAAATTTCCTTGACTATTTCCCAACTGGGAGATATGTTAACATTTTCTTCATTTTGTTCTGCCAAATATCTTCAGAACTAAAATGACTTTATCAGTTTCTCATTTTTCCTTATGTTGATGAAGAGTCAAACTCTGTAAAATATTTGAAGAGATTTATTGTGAGCCAAATATGAGTGACCATGGCTTATGACACAACCCTCAGGAGATGCTGAGAACATGTGCCCAAGGTGCTCGGCCCACAGCTAAGTTTTATACATTTTAGGGGGCCATGAGACATCAGTCAATACATGTAAGATGTACATTGGTTCTGTCTGGAAAGGTGGGATAACTGGAAGGGGGCCAGGTTTCCAGCTTATAGGTGAATTTAAAGATGTCCTGATTGGCAGTTGGTTGAAAGAGTTTATCTAAAGATCTGGAATTAACAGAAAGAAAATGTCTGGGTTAAGATAAGGGATTATGGAGAACAAGGTTCTTACTATACAAATTAAGCCTCCAGGTGGCAGGCTTCAGAGAGAATAGAATGTGAATGTTTCTTATCAGACTTAAAAAGGTGCCAGCCTCTTAGTCAATTCTCTCCTGGATCAGGGAAAAGGCCTGGAAAAGGGCAAGGGAATTCTCTACAGAATGTAGTATTTTCCCCACAGAAGACAACTTTGCAGGGCTATTTTAAGATATGGCAAAGAAACATATTCGGGGTTAAAATATTTTGATTTCTTTCCTTATCTGTCATGTGATGTTATGCCAGAGTCAGGTTGGAAAGTAAGGTATGTTGTATAGGGTTAAATAAAACCCCTCTGATGAGACTTTGTGGTTTGTAGGGAGTGACTCCCTGGTCCCTTGGATAGGAATTTGGGCAAGAGAAGGAAAAAAATCAAAGTTTAGTTCTCACGTAGGTAGTCCTATTTATGAAACTGGATATAAATCACAAAATGTCTATTCCACAGAATTGATATTTACTTTAACAGTAAAACATATTCAACTTTCCAACAATTATTGATGCAACAACTTAATTATTGGTGGCATTCTCACTTGCATTATTGTCATTTTCCATCAAGGTACAGGTATTGGCATCAAATGCTCCTTTTTAAAAAAGACCAAATATTAGCAGTCTTACTACTACCAAATTATACTTAACTGTTAAAACATTTTAAGGTATCAAAATCTGCTTCAAATAATCTTGGCTATTCCAATACTTATTAACGAGCTTGATTCTGTATTTATTATTCACTAAAGAATCAACCATATAAGCCATTATCATATATGAATACATTATTGGCAGCAAATCTATAAGGGTCTGCAGCAATCTCAATTCTTGCCTCCTTAGAAGAAAGAATTTGACTGAGGGGCATAAGGCAGAAAAAGAGACCAAGGTAAGTTTAAGAGCAGGAGTAAAAGTTTATTTAAAAGCTTTAGAGCAGGAACAAAAGGAAGGAAAGTACTTTGGAAGAGGCCCAATAGGTAACTTGAAGGAAAAGTGTGGGGTTTGATCTTTTGAGTTGGGGTTTTATATATTGGCATACTTCCAAGGTCTTGCATCCCGTTTCCCTTGATTTTTCCCTTGGGGTGGACCGCCTACATGCACGGTGGTCTGCTAACACTTGGGAGATGAGTATGCGCAGTGTGCTTACTGGAGGTGTAGGCACGTTCACATGAAGCATTCTTCCCTTTTCCGGTGGAATGCCCGCGGAAGGTCATATACCAGTTAAACTCTGCCATTTTGCCTCTGAAGTGTGCATGCTTGAGCCCACTCACCCAGTTCCTGAGGTCTTATCAGGAAACTGTCAATCACCAGGTTCAGGTGTTTTTATCTATTAGGAAATTGCCTTTCCCTGATGCTGGCTGTAACCAATTATTACTTTAGAGAGGCAGTGTGACAACTGCCTGGCCATCACCTGATGGTTGCCTGACATTCCTGGTGGGGTACGGGGAGCCCTCTCCTGCCCCACTCCTACCTGACTATCTACTGTAACAAATATAGCCTAGACACATTACATCTAATGGAGATAATTAATCTGATAACATAGATCAATGTGAAAACTCATTCTGTCTCTATCATTTAGTTTCCAGTTGGGAAATTCATGTTTTTGTTTGTCTCACTGGGTGCATAGTTTACAAATGAAGTAATTATCATACATGGCATTTCTATCTCGCTTTTTCAAACCAGTTGAATTTTGTACATATTATAATAGTATTCCAATATTTTGTGAAGGGATGTGTGTGTGTGTGTGTGTGTGTGTGTTAGTGACTATTTTAGATAAGGTGGTCAGAGAAGGTATCTTCAGAGAAGCAAGCCGTGCAAAGACATGGGAGAAGAATTATAGACAAAAAAAGATGATAAAATACAACATGCCAGGAGCCTAGTGAGCAAAAGCCAAGTGATAAATTCCAGAGCACAAGTGATGAGGTGGCTGGCCTGGTGCACAGTGATGCATGATGCTTTTGCCTTGTGTTCTAAGTATGTGGACCCACTAGTGGATTTTAAGTGGAGCTGTTACCTAATACTATTTGCACTTTTAAAATATCAGTTTGGCTGCTGGATGGAGAATAGCTTGCAGAGGGGAGAGGAAGTAAGGAATCTAGTCAGGAAGATATTGTTGTAAATTAACAGAATAAATAATAACACACGGAGTGGTAAGAAAAATTAGCCATATTAATGTCGATGGACTTGACTGTGATTTGATGCCAAAAAAAAGTGTTTCTTAATAGGAAGTTGAGATACAAATAAAGACAAGTACATTACAAGCAACAAAAAACTACTTTGGTAACAAAGGCTTCAATTTGCATGACTTCTTTCTCAGCAATCAGTAGTCTGAGTTGAGTGAAATGGTGTATTCATGAAAGGAGAGTATTAGATACTAAATTAGATCTCTGTGCAGGCAGAGAGACCCACATTGTGGAGGGCATAAAATACGAAGTTCAGAAGTTTGTACTTCATCCTGTAGGCAGTCGTATTAAATGCAAATATTTGAAGAGGACCATGGAATGTACAATTTGGTGCTTTAGGCAGTGGTTTTTAGTATGTTTTGAGGGAATAAGAGTGCACACAAGAAGACTTACTGGGGAATAAAATAATAGATGGGATATAAATGAATATCTGAGCAGAAGCCAGGTTCATTGTTAACTGTTAGGTGAGAGACATTGGAAGGGACTGTCTGTAGGGTTGAAGAAGGTAGAATGAAGGGTAACTCCATTTTATTTACATAAAAATTCATCATTAATCCCTGCAACAAACTCGTGAGGTAGGTAAGATTCTTTTACAGAAGAGGAAACTGAGATGGCCATGGCATAGTAGCTTGCTAAATTCTCACAAATAGTGAGGGACAGAGTGGGATTTCTAAGCCCTGGTAAATTATATAACACAGTCTCAAAATCTGCTGAAATAATTAAAACTTTCTAAAGATTGATTGTGCACACTTATTGTACATATTCTCAGAATATTTATTTCCTTGCTGAAATAGTTGTTGTACTTGAAAACTGTTGTGCTTATTTACATTGTTGTTGCTAAGCTATTTAAAACACAATGTAAAATCAAAACTTTATTTAAATAGAACTTTGGCTTTTATCCTCAGTGTATTCATTTAATCACAAAAAGTAATGTTAATGTGTTTGTTCCTAAAGTCTTTTGTATTGCTGTTTTGTTAAATCTATTTGCTTACTGATTTAATTAATGATTTGTCTATGACAGACCTAATTGGAGATTACTATGCTTAAAAAAATGGGATAAAGTCAAAGAAATAAAGCTGTAGAAACAATTTAGTGGAAGAGAAAATGCTTTGACAATAAGCAGTAGTCTAAAAATTTTAAGTGCGATATATATTTTTTATCTATGTTTTCTTGCTAAGTTAAAATTAAAATGTGCTAGACTTGAAAACAGACAAAACACCCCTGAGGTTCTTTTACCTGGTTTTATACCACAGTATTCTTTGATATTAGTGAATTATTTCAGTTTGCTTCTTTGCATTGTTATAGGAATGATTAACCTGGTGTTCTCCTGATTTATTAGTGCTATCTGAAAAGCACCAATACTTTATTATCTCCCTGGAATTCTTTTTCATTTTGTAAGAATCATTGAGAGACTGAGCTATATAATACTTGTATAGAGCTGTGTCTTCTTAAAGATTTAAGGTTAATCATTATAAATTAATAGTCATTGATTTCACATAGTGGACCAGTCATTGTAGCAAACTGAATGTACAGTAAACAGCCTATACCTCTATTGTCCACCTTTCAGTTAACACACCACAATTCACTGATTTCTTTGACTGAAAAAATATTTCTTTTTTTATCCTTATGCTTAGTCCTGCACAGGAGTGTACAGATATTGTGATGTATGTTAGTACTACTTGAGACGTCTTTCAAATGAACAAAATAAGACTTCCTCTGGGTAAATAAGAGCCAGAATATAAGTATAATTCAATATTTTTTTTGTTAATAACCTGGTAGGACTAGGGTGAGGTCATAAAGAAAATGAGGAACTATCTATACAATGGTAATAGTAGTAGTTACATATGTGGTTTTGTTTTTTGTGTTTTGTTTTTTTATTTTTTTTTTCATTTAATCCTTGAAACCACTCAGGCAACCAGCTTATTTATAATCATGCCATTTTCATGGATAATAGAAAATAAAGTTCTGATAGGTTAAGTAACATGACCAAAATCACAGAGTTTACATTTCATGAAAAGTAAATCTATATGTCGTGGCAATAGGTGTTGTGCAGGGCTTCAGTGAAGCGGTGTGAGGGGGAGAGCCTGGTGAAAGAGAAGAGTTGGAGTCTAGGGTGTTAGGGATGAGGTTTTTCACTATTTTACGTATGTGGTTAGGAAGTTCTGACTCTCAAGAAGGAAGGAGTGATCCACTGTCTCAAATTCTCCTACTAGTCCCTATAAGATGAGAACTGAAGTTTGGACCTTTAATTTGGTGGTGTAGAGGTCACTGAGGCTGTGAAAAGAGCTATTTCCTGGAGTGTTAAGAAGATAAGCCTGATTGAATTGGTTCAGAAGAATGAGAGGAATGGAGACAGTATTAACAGCTCTTAAATGTTGCTATAAAGGAAAGCAGAAAAATGGGACAGTAACTGGATGAGGATGTGGGATCTAGGAAGGCTGATTGTCACTTCTAAGATGGAAAGTTTTTTAAAAATCAGGTTTGCATGATGATGAGTTCATCTACTAGAGAGGAATTATCAATGAGGCAGGAGGGGAATATTCTGGAGCATTGCCTCTAAGTAGATATAAAGGTATGGATGTGTTCTAATATATAGGGAGGGATTCACTGTAGGTAAAGTAGGGAAGCTCATGTATTTTAACAGAAGAAAAGACATGATGCATGAATACAGATGAAAGTTAGTTGGTGGGTGTGGTGCTGGTGATATTTGAAAGTTCTCTTTTGATTGCGTTTTTTAAAAAAGAATTAGAAAGCATGGGTATTAGCTGTGCATGGTGGCTCACACCTGTAATCTCAGCTCTTTGGGAGGCTGAGGCCAGAGGATCGCTTGAACCCAGGAGTTTAAGAACAGTCTAGGCAAGATAGTGAGACCCCCATCTCTATTTTGAAAATAAAAAATAAAAAATAAATTAAAAAGCATGGACACCAGTTGAGAATCAGAAAAGAGGAAAAATGCTACTAAGGGAAGAGAAATGAGACAACTCAAGAAAAGGCACTTTGGAGAAAAGAAAATATATTTATCTTGAGGATCTTATGTTTGAGATCCTCTGGTCATTCAAGAAGAGAGGATATCTAATCCTTTTGCTCAGTCAGGAGATGAAGTCTAGAGATAGATTTGGGTATTTATGGCACAGATATGGTAATTTAAACCATGGTGTAAAATATATGGCCAGGGAGAACTAGCAGAGTGAGAAGAAGCCAAGGTCATAACTTGAAGAATTTCATTATTTGTTTAAATAATGGAAGAGGAGCCAGCACAGGAGGAAGAAAACAAAGATGGGTAAAGAAAAGTAGGATCAAACAGCAATGGCAATGACAAAATGGACATTTATAGAGTGTTCAGTTTTTAAATGGAATCTAATAGGATGAAGACCAAAAAGAGACCACTGCATTTTTTAAAGTTAGGAAGTTATTGATTATCTAACTGGGAATTATTTCAGAAGAGTGATGGGTTTGAAATTACAATAGTGTTGGCTGCAGATTTGATATATTTGACTATGAGAGTGAAATGAAACATCCTGGGATGTTAATAGTTTAAACTGAGTCAGAGGAAGTTTTATGTTTTTATAAAAGTTAACTAAGTATCTCCTGTGTGCCAGACACTATTCCCAGTAGCCTTGGACAAAATGGACATTGTGGAAAACATATAGACAAAAATTTCTATCCTCAAATTTCTTACATTCTAGGTTAGGTTCTTTCTTTTAGCCTGGAAATTTTGTATCAGGAGAAGGAGTCAAAGGAGAGAGAGAAATAAAGGAGGTGTCTCCAGGGCACTGCAGAGCTAAGAGAAATTCACAAAGTGTTTAGATTACATCACAAGAGGAAACCATGAGAAACTGTAAACCAGGCAACCCTGGTTTTCAGTTTATGGCTTTTACATGAACAAGGATTTTGTAAAGAAACACTATAATTCAGTGAAAACAACAATATACTAGGGTGTCAGAAGACTGTGGTATCAGACCCACAGCATTACCAGTTATATGAGTTAAGGAAAGAATCCTGCAGAGCCATAGCTTCTTCTCTGCTAAGTAGCGATAACATCTACCTATTGACCTCCAAGTGTTGTTACATTGGTCAGATGAAATTATATGGTCTCTAAAGAGCCTCATAAATTAAAGCGTTTACTATAAGAAGGTGCTAATTGACAAAGCACATCTTCAGAATCTTGTGACCCATATTTTGTGGTTCTCAAATTGAAGCCATTTTTATTATCATTATTTATTCGTATTTATCTGAGTTCTACTGGAGTGAATTTTTTTCATCTTCTTGATGTTTTTATTCTTAAATTTAAATTTGTAAAGTATTTACAAAACATTTTATTAAGTTTTTTTATGAGCCATTAACAAAATAAATTTGGAATATATAATTCTCCTTGACAACTGTGCACTAACACAGAAACAAAGGCTTTATTATGCCCTGTATGGTCACGTGTTTATAATAGATGAGCCTTGGCTTACAATGACTGCTTTGTTTGATGTTTATTAGCCCATGCCTTGGTGCAATTTAACTTGTCCTAAATTCACTGTTTCAGAACTACAACGTGTGTAGCACATTCATTGTCCTTTGAATAATACTCTGTTGCTTGAGTAGAATCTCAAGAGACTATAACCTTGGGATTTTAAGGTTCTTTCCTTATATGCTCTAGAAAACCCTTAATGAATGTCGATTATGTAAAGGCATTAAAACATTTTAAGTGGTAGAAACTGTCCTTATATGATTTTGAAAAAATGTCTGTTTTTAAAAAATATCTACGTAGAGGATCGGGCTTACCTCACATTCTCCCCTTAGTGCTGATGTTAATGAATGTGATCCAGGTGTCAACTTCAACTAGTGGTTATTTTATCCAACTTCAAATAAGACAATTCTACGGTATAGTATATTGTTTATAATTCTAATCTTGATTCCAGGAAGTTTCCATAATTTTGATGATTATTACTTAATGTTTTACAATGGTTTCACAAAAGTTAAAGACAAAAACATTTTAAACATAACATTTTAAACTCTAGAACACTTTCTTTTTAGATACCCTTGATTTATAAAAACAGAATTTGTTTCTCCTTATTTTCCTCAATATTACTAAATAAAACAAACGGGTAATTAAGGTACTAAGGTAATGAGATTATCTCATTCAATCAATTTATGTTATAATTAAAACTGAAGTTTAAAAATATTCTGTGACTGCCCAAGCTACATGATTGGAATGTAGAACCTAGAATCCCTTCATTACCAGAGTATATGTCATTGCCTTTGGTGGTTTTCATAATTAAATATCTTCACATATGGTAGTGGTAGTTATGGTGAGGAAAGAGTGGGGTTGACCACAATCCTGCCATGTTAATTTTACCTTGCAGGGGCCTGCAACCATGTGAATACTCTGAAGCTCTAGTAATTTTGACCAATTCCCACTAAAAGGAGTGAAGAGAGGCAAACCTTATTCTTCCCTCCTCCTCATCTCCTTCCTTTTCATCTTCTTCATCTTCACTATTTGTTGCTTTCTTAACTTTCTGAATATACTGCTATAAAAAAGAGGAAAATGCTGAAGAAAATTACAATGACCTATAACTCCATGACTCAGAAATAGCCACTCTCTTTATTCTCCTATCTTATCATTATTTTTATTAGTCAGTTTTCATACTGCTATGAAGAAATACCCAAGACTGGATAATTTATAAAGAAAAAAAGAGGTTTAATAGACTCACAGTTCCACGTGGCTGGGGAGGCCTCACAATCATGGCGGAAGGGGAAGCAAACACGTCCTTCTTCACATGGTGGCAGCAAGAAGAAGTGCCAAGCAAGAGGGGAAAAGCCCCTTATAAAACCATGAGATCTCGTGAGAACTCACTCACTATCCAGAGAGCAACGTGGACGTAACTGCTCCCATGATTCAGTTACCTCCCAATAGGTCCCTCCTATAACACGTGGGGATTATGGGAACTACAATTCAAGATGAGATTTGGGTGGCGACATAGCCAAACCATATCATTATTTTTCTGATGCATTTTTTGTAACAGATATTTTAGAAAATTGAGACTATATATTTCACACTATTTTATAACCTGCACATAGATTTGACAGTGTCTGGAGCAACATCAAATATGCTTACATGTTCTTCAATATTATGAATTTTAATTGTTCTATAACATTTTAATATAAGGATATATTATAATTTAATTCATCTCCTATTGTTGGAAATTTATATTGTTTCTATTATTCACTGTTATGAAAATCAAATTTTTTAAACTTTGCTTCATATCGTTAAATTACCTTCAGAAAGTTATCAGTTGATATTCCACCAGTATGAAAGCCCTCATGTTCTTCTATGCTTCACAATATTTGGTACACTATAGATGTGTGTGCATATACACATATATAGGATAAATTATAATATATGTTTAAATAAGTTAAATACATAAGTCATAATAGTACCTCATTTTTTGGTTTTGTTTTACATTATTATATATTGGCAAGGCTAAATACCTTTCATATACTACTGGCTATCCCTATAGTCATCCCTTGTATCTACAGGGAAATTGATTTCAGCACCGTTACAGGTATCAAAATTCACAATGTTCAAGTCCCTTTTATGAAATGACATGGTATTTTCATATAACCAATGCACATTCTCCTGCATACTTTAAATCATGTCTACATTACTTACAATTCCTAATACAATGTAAATGCTATGTAAATAGTTGTTATACTGTATTTTTTTATTTGTACTTTTTTTTACTGTTGCATTGTTTTTTAATGGTTTTGAAAAATCCTTTTTTATCCACAGTTGTTTGAATCTGTGGATGTGGAAAGCGCATATACAGAGAGCAACTGTATCTTCTTTTGCATTTCTTAATCATGCATTGCCAGGTTTTTCTTTTGAGCAATCATTTCTAACAGTTATTTGTATTTTGATGATATTTTCTCTTTTTCTAGTATTTATGTTGCAAGTTTTTTCTCCAGTTGTCAATGTTATGTTCATAGTTTTAAAAATTAAATCTACCTGTATTCTTTTTTGCTTTATCACATCTATTATTAGGTCCCTTTCTGTACCTCTACTCTGTGAAAAAGAACTCTATGCCTTCTATTAGTACCATTTTCAATATCGTTGTTGCTTTATAATATGTCCTCATATTTTAAAACTGATTTCTATACATTTAAAAAAATTTCTTGGTTGAG
Source organism: Homo sapiens (assembly GCF_000001405.40). Lineage (NCBI taxonomy): Eukaryota > Metazoa > Chordata > Mammalia > Primates > Hominidae > Homo > Homo sapiens. Next base: position 40,754,928 of record NC_000012.12, read on the forward strand.
GCTGGGTGCTGTAATCCCGGCACTTTGGGAAGCCAAGGTGGAATATCCCTGGAGCCCAGTCATGATCAGCCTGGACAACATAGTGAGACTCTGCCTCTACAAAACATAAAAAAGTTAGCTGGGCATGGTGGCATATGCCTGTAGTCCCAGTTACTTGAGAGGCTGAGGTGGGAGGATTGCTTGGGCCTAGGAAGTTGAAGCTGCAGTGAACCATGATTTTTCCACTGCATTCCATCCAGGGCAACAGAGTGAGACCCCACCTCAAAAAAAAAAAAAAAAAAAAAAAAAAAAAAAAAAAAGAAGAAAAGAAAAAGAAATGGCTTGGTTGTTCTTACTATTTATTTATTTATTCCAGAAATAAAAATACTTTTTCATTTTCTTATTTCTTATTTATTTATTCTTCCAAAGAAACTTATCTGGGAAAAGAGAAGTAATAGCAAGTTTGTGTGTTGATAGGAATTAACAATGGGTGTTGGAAAACATTGATGATACAAGAAGAAAAAGAGCTGGGCAAGGCGGGTCACATGATAATCCTAGTACTTTGGGAGGCTAAGGTGGGAGGATTGCTTGGGGCCGGGAGTTTGGGATCAGCTAGGGAACATAGTGAGATCCTCTCTCTACAAAATATTTAATTAAAAAAAAACAGCTGGGCTTGGTGTTACAATCCCAACTACTTGGGAGGTGGAAGCAGAGGATACCTTGAGCCTAGGAGTTTGAGATTACAGTGAGCTATGATTGTACCAGTGCATTTAAACCTCAGTGACAGAGCGAGACCCTGTCTCTACAAAAATTAAAAAGGGGAGACTTCCTGGAGTGATTAGAGTAGGTGAGAGGGATAAGATCTTATGTATAAGGGGGAAGTTTTGATCTTGTAGAATACAGTCTTGTAGACCCTTATTATTATATGGTACTTGCCTAGTAAGGGTGGAATTGAGGGAAGGGATATTAATAGCTTAAGGAGAGAAGAGTTAAGTTTGAAATACTAATCTAGAAGAATGGGAGCAATGAATGGTTTGGTTGGTTCAATTTCAGGAGATTGTTCATAAATGTAAAGTGAAAACATTCTGTATGATTATATGGTGTGTTTTGTTTTTCTAGCCACATTTAGATACATAGTTGCAAGCACAGAAAAGGTGTAACTGATTTTAACTAGGGTTGGATCCAGTCAAGGATACAGTGAAGCAGGAGAGGAGCAAGGGAGTTTTATATAATGAAGTGATTTTTGTAATGTGTCATGAAATTTAAGCCAAATAAGGAAAATAGTAAGAGCATGAGTTGGGGGTGAGGGAGCAGGTAGTAGGATCTATGGATTTTAGGTCTTGGTGTGGTAGAACCATTGGAGTTAAGGAACTTAGAGCGAGTGATCTGGGAAGAAAGAAGGCCATAGTCAGAGAGTACAGTGCTAGAAATTGAGATTATAAGGGGAGTGTCCTCATTGGTGTAACCATAGGAGCTGCAGTGGCATGGATGACAAAATTACCAAATGATAGGAAGTCAATAACTAAAAGGTCAGTGTTTCAGAGGAGCCATGTGTATAGCTATTGGAACTGCCAAAAATTACAATAAAATTAGCATTGGAGATTGTGACAGTGGGCAAAGATGTCTGAGAAACTAGTAGGTAATTGCAACAAGAAGCAGTACTGGATGGTACCGTCAAAGGCCATGAGTTTCAAAGCTGAGGGTTGTTAGGAAAGGCATTTGCACTAGGTGTTCCCCGAGCCTAGAATGCTTTCCCCTAGATCTTGCAAATAGTTTGCTCCTCTTTATTAATTAGTTCTTTGTTCACATGTCACCTCCAAGAGGCTTCGCGTCATCATCCAATTTGAAGTAGTCCCTCAAGTCATTCTCTGCTTTGTTGCTTGCTTTATATTTTAACAGCACTTATAACTAACTGAAACTATCTTGTTTATTTATTTGTTTTTATATACTGGACACTCCTTCTTAGGGGATATATTTTGAAAACAGTTTTGCTAGTCTTTTTGTGTGGCTAGTTCCCAGACTTGTGATTACAGCCACATAGTAATCAGTCAATAATTAGTTTTTGATTGAATGAATGAATATTTATAGGATATCTTGGTCAGCTTGGGCTGCAATAATAAAATTACATAGACTGAGTGGCTTAAACAATAATGCAGTTCCTGGTGAGGGCTCTCTTCCTGATTTGCAAACGTCAGCCTTCTTGCTGTAACCTCATATGGCAAAGAAAGAGTGACTCTGGTCTCTTTCTCTCCTTCTAAGTATATTAATCCCATCATGGGGGTTCTACTCCTATGATCTCATCTAAGTATAATTATTTTCCAAAGGCCCCACCTCCTAATGCCATCACGTTAGGGGTGAGGGTTTCAATATTTGAGTTTGGGAAGGACAAAACTTTCAGTCTATTTCATAGATGAAATATTATCTTCCACATTCCTGTGACTTCTTTCAGAATCCAAATATATTTTTTAAAGCATCCTCTAGCTCAGAGCATTCATTCTTATAAGAATTCCTATTATTGACCCTTTCCTCAAGAAACATGAATTAAAATATAAGAAGAAATAAAGTATAAAGGTAAGGCTTGCTCTGTGATAGTTAAGTTTTCAAAGTTAGGACTCACAGATATTGTCAGTTATTACTTCAAGCAATTCTCACCAGTGTGTTAATGAACTTGAAGTACAGTTATCTTTTGATGTATTGGTTTCAGCTTCCACTATGCTGTTTTGCTCAGCCAATGACAACCTTCCATAGATTTTCACCACACAAGGATAACCTTGTTGCTCCCCTCACTATGACATTCTTTCAGAATTCTTTGCACATTCTTTTAGAAACCAGGGTGAGCATGAATTGAAAATCTCATTGGTAAGAAAAAAATAAAACCATTTATCTATCTTAAGTTAGTCTTTCTTTATTAAAATAATCAAATATCTTTATATTTTTGTGCTAAATACAAAGTACTATAGATTTATTTTCTTATGGCTTGACAATAAGCAGACATATTAGGTAATTAACATGCTATTTAGTTTATATATAGAAAAGTAGAAATAGCATGGTATAGTAGAATGAGCACTTGGTGTTGTCGAGGATTAATTAAGATAACAAATGTAAATCTGTCTCCCCTTCTTTTCTCTTTAATGGACTAAATATGTGTTATTCATCTTCTTACACTTTAATTTGGTGCCTTAGAGAAAGAAATTTTTTCCACATTGTAGATAGTTATTATCTAGTATGATTCTAATTGTTGCTGCCCTATTTTTATAAAATGCCATTCTGTAATCACATCAGTGATTTAATGTTTCTAATAATTTACATTTTTAAGCCTCTGGTGTTATGAATATTTTATACAGTAGTTGATTTCTATTTATATATTCAGAATATTTGAAGTTCAAAACAAAGTGTTTTTTTTTTAATTTGTTGGTGTTCTGAGAATTTTATAGGAGATTTGAAGAGAAATATGTCACCATTTTAAATTCTGCAACCAGTTACTGAACACCTACCAACTGAAAGACCTTGGTCTTTTTCGAAGTAAAAATTACTGAGACAATAATTGCAAAGGTTATTTAATTTCCTGTTACAATGTAATTCTTTATATCTGCTTAAAAATTGTGTCTTCTGTAGATTTTGAAACATTTATGGACACTCCACATTGTAATATTTTGCATCCCAGCAAACTGTGTAATCTGTTTTTGTTTTATTTTGTTTTTATTATGAAAAACTTCAAATATGTACAAAACTAGATGAAAGAGTATAATGAACTGCTACACATACATAATCCAGTTTCAACAGTTATCAACTCAAGATGAATCTGATTTTTTTATACCGCACCCACTTATATATAACTTACCTCTTTGAACAAAAGTTCTCAAAAAACAAATCTGAAGGAAAGAGACTTTATTCCAGTGAAGAGTTTGCAAACCAGGGGAGACACAGCCTTCTTGTAATGAAAGTACATTCCAGACAATAGAGAGAGGATTCAGGTTTTATATATATATATATATTCTTTTTTTTGTTTGTTTTTGAGATGGAGTTTCACTCTTGTTGCCCAGGCTGGAGTGCAATGGCCCGACCTCAGCTCACTGCAACCTCCCACTCTGGATTCAAGCTATTCTCCTGCCTCGGCCTCCCAAGTAGCTGGGATTACAGGCATGTATCACCATGCCTGGCTAATTTTGTATTTTTAGTAGAGATGGAGGTTTCATCATGTTGGTCAGGCTAGTCTCAAACTCCTGACCTTAAGTGATCCATTTGCCTCAGCCTCCCAATGTGCTGGAATTACAGGCATGAGCCACTGTGCCTGGTCAAGTATTCAGGTTTTATAGCAAAAGTTCCTGCTCAGTTTCCCAATAAGGTTTGTTTATACAAATGGAGGATTGAAACTTGCTTAGTTCTGATTGGTTGATAGAACTGAGCCCTGATTGGCTGGGTCAAGGGAGCTCTGATTGGTTGGTTTCCAAGCCCAAAACCAGAGGTCTCTGTTAGGTATTTTGTCTTTTTCTTTTTCCTTTTTTTCTCTTTCTTTCTCCCTCCCCTCCCCTCCCCTTCTTCCCTTCCCTTCCCTTTCCCTTTCTCTTTCTCTTTTTTAGACAGGGTCTCACTCTGTCACCTAGGCTGGAATGCGGTGAAATGCTTATGGCACACTGCATCTTCTACCTCCCAGGCTCAAGTGATCCTCCCACCTGAGCATCCCAAGTAGCTAGGACCACAGGCACCCACCATCATACCTGGCTAATTTTCTGTATTTTTTTTGTAGAGATGTGGTCTTGCTGTGTTGCCCAGGCTGGTCTTGAACTCCTGGGCTCAAGAAATCTGCCCACCTCGGCCTCCCAAAGTGCTGGGATTACAGGCGTGAGCCACCTCACTTGGCCCAGATATTTTTTTTTTTTTTTTTTTCAAAAAGCCACTGTGGGACTGGGGAGTGAATCAGGCAACAACTTATCTTGGCACCTACAACAGGAACTGATTTGACTTTATTATAGAAAGGAAGTCCTGTGATACTTTTATAACGTCTTTCTGAGAACACAAGAGTAGGTGACCACTCCCTTACCCAGCTATGGCCACCAGGTTCTGTCTTAAATATAGACATCTCAGTTAGCCACGGGGGTCCACTTTGCCTGTTGGTCAGGGACATACTTTAATACCTTAGATCTGGAATCAACCACTCCTCCAAGTTCTGATTGCCTTAGTATTGCAAGCCCTTAATCTGGGTGCCAGGGGATTTTATTGCTACCAAGCTGGGTTTGTTTTGGTTTTTTGCTTTTTTTAGTTGACAGTATAGGAAATATGTTTTGTTTTGATTTTGAATATAAAATATATTTTCAGTTCATACTGGCTTTTACAATGGAAATTTAAGGTTTCTGAATTTTTAATTACTTCTTACATCTGTACATCCTTCTTCCATGTGAAGCATCCCATGTGTCATGAAAACAAGAGATGACTATATATCAAAATTATATCACAAATTTATATCACAAAATTACACATTTGTTTTATCCTATAAAAAACACACAAGAATATCTACAATACAAACACTGCTACCAACATTATTATTATTGACAGCAGTTAATGTTTTTTTTTTTGCAGTTCTTTTGCAGTTCCTTAGATTATAGCTCACTAGGCGTGTGCAAATTATTGTGTTTTAAAATCGCTTGGAACTGCTGTTCGCAGTGTGGCTATACCAGTGACTGGATACACATTTGGATCTATTTATTTCATATTATTTTGTGATTTTAAAAGCTTTTTATTGAAAATTGGATTTTATTTTCTAATTACCCAAAATATTTACATGGTTCAATGAAAAAATACAAAACAAATTATATTTAAGTAAATCTAGTTGATAGCTCACACCCTGAACTCTATTTTTTTATCCCCTTATAGGTGACAACTTCAAAAAATAAATAGTTCATACTTACATTGTTGGTCTTTCAAAATAATGCACACACACACACACACACACTTCCACTTTGATATCATAAAGGCCAAGGATGTAGTCCATGTTACCTGTGTTCCCCTAACTTAATTTAATTTTATATGATATGCTCCAGAACACTGAATTGTTCCCTTGGAAAAAAATTACTCTGTCAAATAAAATTTAGAAAAATGGATTTGTCAAACTAAATAGGTTTTCTGGAAATGTGCATTATAATCTTCAGAGAAGATTATCATACATGTAGCATTTCACAAATGTATTTCATAGGTAATCTATTTGTAAATCAACATGATAAAATCTCTAAGTGAAATACAGTTTGGAAAATACTGACTTAATTCATGTACTATGGAGTTGTCAACAGATTTATCTAAAGACTTCCAATTTTTAAATATTTTTCATCTATACCAATTTTTAGAAAAACATACTCAGTAATTTAGTGTAGTAACACTTCTTTTTAGTTAGACACCATTTAATTTTCTCATAAAATAGTAGTGGGTATCTTTTAAAAGCATCCTAGACTTGGGAAATTATAATAAGATTTGTTCTTCTACCAATCTTCACTGGAGCACTTCTGTTCTTTAATCTGCGGTTTCCTTTTCTTTTTCTTGAAAAGTTTTAGTAAACTATTTTTAAATATATGATTCAGTCAGTTTTGATTCCTGGTTCTCAGTTTGGTTGTGGACATGTGGCATTAAAACATATTTTGGTTTTATTTTATTTCTTAGATAGATCAGCTTAAATACTTTAAAAGGTAAGGTTTTTTTAAAAATCTACTGGTTGGTAGCTGTTGCTTGTATGAGTATTTATATTTCAGTTATTTTACTTGTATTATTTTAAATTTAACATTTTTTTCTCCATAGTTAGAGGGTTTTTTGTTTGCCTGTCTGTTTTACTGTTCACTTGGATTTTGGGGACTGTTTGTGTCTTCAGTGAACAATCATCAAAGGCTAGAATCATAGAGAAATTAAAATGTTACTTTAGAATAGGCTAAACTTCTAAGCTTAATTAAACTTTCAAATTAATATCAGAATCCTAATTTAAGCTGAATGGCAATGCAGGATAACTGATTTCTCTGTTTTTGTTAGGGACACTTTTACAATACAATCCTAATTTAAGCTGAATGGCAATGCAGGATAACTGATTTCTCTGTTTTTGTTAGGGACACTTCTACAATACACATTGACTAGCACAGACATCACAAGGTCTTTACATTCCAGACTGTATACACTTGTTCCTCTTTAATTCACAATCAGCCTCAAATATATTAATCTCTGGGTAACTACAAGTAAGTATATATTTAAAGAAAGCTAGACTTTATTTTCTTTCAAAGGAATAGTAAGTACAAACATTATGAATTTTACTGTTACACATATACAAAGATCACCTCTAATATAGCCATTTACAAGTACAATGTCCAAAGTAGAAATAGCCTTAAACTACCACAAGAGGGATTTAGGGCAAACCTTTGACATTTTGTAGAACACCTTCATCAGTGACGAACTGCTAGATATACTCTTTAACTGTGAGTAAAAATCATGATGATAAGACAAGGAATTGGTCCATGGACAAATAGAAGTCATCACCTTAGAAAACAGATTAACATTTAAATGTTCTTAAGAATTCAGAGAAATAGTCAGAACTTATCCAAAATAACAGTATATTTAGGCAAAAACTTTACAAAATTTTAGATAAGTAATATGTACTATCATAAAAACTGAGCATAAGTTCAAAACAAAAAAAAGTAAACATCTTTATATAATATATGAGGATAAACGTTCTACTGCATAGAATAGTAAAAGAAGGAAAGGACTTGTGTCCTAGCAGCTGGGTTTGAATCTTCACTCATGCATAAGAGCTGTCTGAGTCCCTGCTTTGTGCTATACTGTGTGCAGGTACCACAGATAAAATGATGAGTAAAATTATACATGGCCCCTTTTCTTTTGTGGCTTACATTATAGTGGCTAAGACAGGAATTGAGTAAATAATAATAATAATGAAAGCATGTAATTAAAAAGTGAAATGGGTGCTCTGAAATTAAAATATAGTTTGAATATTTGTCCCCTCCAAATCTCATGTTGAAATCTGGTCCCCAGTGTTGGAGGTGGGGCCTAGTGGGAAGTGTTTGGGTCATGGGGCAGGAGCCCTCATGAATAGCTTGGCGCCCTCCCTGCGGTAACGATTGAATTCTCACTCTGTTAGTTCATGTGAGAGCAGGTTGTTTAAAAGAGCACAGTGCCCATCTTCACTTCTCTTCCTCTCTTTCTAGCCATGTGACAAATCTGCAGCCCCTTTGCCATGATTAAAGGTCTCCTGAGGCCCTGACCAGAAGCAAACGCTAGTGCCAGGCTTCTTGTACAGCCCGCAAAACTGTGAGCCAAATAAACTCCTTCTCTTTATAAATTACCCAGACTGTTTATAAATTACCCAGCCACCTTTATGGCAGTGCCAAATGGACTAAGACAGTAGGCAAATAAAATGAGCTTAGAAATCTTCATATTAATGGAAACTTAAATCTTGAGCAAAGGTCAGGAAAGAGTTCACTGATGGAGGAATTTAAGGGGAGATCTGAAGGTTAAGTAATATATTTATTAAGTAAATTTAGTAAGTAAATGAAGGGTGAGGGGCTTGTGCAGCTGACAATATTCTAGAGTGGAAAAATGTAGTAAGAACAAACGTTTTGCAGAGGGAAGAAACACATTGTATTAGGAAAATGGAAAGAATGTCACTGTGGCTAGTGTACAGAGAAAGGAAAGAAAATGAAAGGAAGGTGAGGCTAAAGAAAGGAGAAGAGGATACACCACAGAAGGCTTTGTAGGCCATTTAAAGTATTTGGGTCTTTGTCTAGGGTGCCACAGAATAAAATGAGGAAAACAAAGTGGGGCTTCAGAGCTATGTAATATCCATGACTAATTTATTGAAAAGTGAATTTCAATGAACTTACTGAAAATATGTTGAATTATCCTCACAATCACAAAATCTTATTGGCTTCTAAGTACACTTATTTCCCACTCAATGGTCTGAACATTTCCTGTAGCAGCTCTGCTCCAGATTTCAGACTCTAGGCCTGGGATCTCTCAGAATATCTCATTAGGGACTCAATATCTACCTGGACAATACTTTTCTTATAGCATGGGGTGTAGGAGATGGGGGCGGAAATAGCATGAGCCAAGCCAAACCATGGAAACACTTTTAAGGCTCTGTTTAGAGATGGTTTATTTCCATCTGTTCACATAAATGCTTTCCATTAACTGAAGCAAGTCACATGGCTAAATTCAAACTTAATAGAAGGGGTACTCCTTCCATAGAGGGAGTGTGGAGAAATGTGATTATTTATTGAACCATAATATCTACCTGAAGGATTTTCTGGAAGCTATGGGTTAGGAACGTTAAAGAACAATAGCACCAGGCAGATTAAGCAGGCAAGGAAGACTTTATTCAAGACTATTGCAGTATGGGAGAAAGACTGTTGCAGTAGGGGAAAGAGATTAGCCTCAACTCCAGTGAAACAAAAGGCAGAAAATGCTGAGATGAACTAATGCTGAGATGAACTAATGGAATAGTACTGAAGGACATTAAGAAAAGAGGTTTGTCTATTTGATTAAGCCATCTGTGTTTTCTAATTGTTTTTTATTGATGTTAGGCTCCTACTCTCCCACAGAGACTGGTAGATAAAGGTATTAATACTATCTTTTTTGATGACTACATTTCAAAGAAATGGCCTCCAGGCCCTTGAGAAAGACTTTCCTGGTATAGAAGATTTACTTCTCAAAAGTGCAGAGAAAGAACTCACAATTGCAAGTTTTAAAAAAGCAATGGTCTGAGAAAAGTGAAGTCAGGGGCTTATTGTTAGGAAGAAACCTGCCTAAATTCTAATAAAGTCGAGGGAAAAATGTAAGACTGTCTTGGTCAGAAGAAGGAACAACCATATGCTTAGAAGCATTTCAGCAATGTCCCTTAGAATTCCACCTTTCATGAGAAGATACTCTCCAGGCATTGTTGGATTTCTTCTTTGAACCATTGATTGTTTAGCAGCATATTGCTTAATTTACCAACATTTGGGGATTTTCTAGTTATCTTTTGGTTTATGATTTCAAATTAAATTTCCATTGAGATTAGAGAACATATTTTATTTTATCTGTGAGTCTGCTTTACAAAAATATTTGTAAAATGTTCCATAAGCACTTGAAAATAATGTGTTTTTGTAGTAATTGGGTACAATATTTTATATTATATATATTAGGTCATATAGAATATATATTTTATATATGTATATAAGGATATTAGGTTAATTGAGGATATTGTTGACAAGATTGATAATGGATATATATGCAGAATATGGTAAATAAAGGAATCAAGAATAACTCTAGATCCTTGCTTTGTGGCTTGACTTGAGTTGCAGTGTGAATGATGAGGACATTTTTCTGAGAGGAAAACTCAGAAAGGAACAGGTTCGAGTAATATGTCAAATTTGGCCATGCGAAGTTTAGATGTCATTTGACATACAAGTGGAGATGTCAATCCAGGAGTACAGTATAAAAGTTTGGAGCTCAGTGAAAGGATAGGAAGCTGATTCACAGATTTGGGAGTCTAATAGTATCACCTGGACAGAGCATTTAGCTAGAGAAGAGTCCTAATGTATTTCAACTTCAGAGATAGAACAGAGGCAAAGGAACAAGCAAAGGAGAACAAGAATGAGTCTTTAGGAAAGTGAGAGGAAAATAATAAGTTTGGTTAACAGAGTCAAGGGAAAAAATGTGTTTTAAGATGGAGTTCAGTGGCTAACTGTGTCAAATATTTCTAAAAGGTGAAGTAATATGAGAACAGAAAAATGACTATTGATTTTGACAATCCAAGACCTTTGATGACCTTGACAAGAATAGTTGGCAAAAGATGGTATAACACCCATATTTTTTGCCAATAGAAAATTTAAAACATTGTTTAATTCTGAAAGAATAAATAAATTCACACATTTATCAATCTCCTGCTGTATACAGGTCACTGGGGACACAAAGATAACAAATGATGTTTTAAGCTTTGATGGAGCTCATAGTGTTGGAGGGAATCAGACATGCAAAAACAAACTAAAACAAAATTTTACAAGTCCTGGGCAAAAGATATATCCAATGTTGTGGAAGCTGGAGATGCCTATGGTTATTTTAACTGTGGGAAACTAAGAGGAGGAAAGACTGGGGCTTGAGAAGTGCTTGACGGTTTTCTTGGCAAACATTAGAGGAAATTGCATTCCAGGCTGGGCACGGTGGCTCACGCCTGTAGTCCCAGCACTTTGGGAGGCCGAGGCCCGCAGATCACTTGAGGTCAAGGGTTCGAGATCAGTCTGGCCATCATGGCGAAACCCCATCTCTACTAAAAATACAAAAATTAGCCGGCATGGTGACATGTGCCTGTAATCCCAGCTACTTGGGAAGCTGAGGCAGGAGAGTCACTTGAACCCGGGAAGTGGTGGTTTCAGTGAGCTGAGATCATGCCACTGTACTCCAGCCTGGGTGACGGAATGAAACTCCGTCTTAAAAAAAAAAAAAAAAAGAAAGAAAGAAAAAGCATTCCAGCATTTCAAAAGCATTGAAGAATGTGCTCTAAAGGCTCAGAGGCAGAGCATTTAATGAAATAATCAGAGAACTGTACCATCACCTCTGAGATAATTAGAAATGTGTGTATGTATTGGATGGGGCTTGGTCCTGCAAATTTTAGGTGTTACTGGCCTTTAAAAGGGGTGGAGGGTACTAAATATCCTGTAATCCTTGGGTGGATTCTCTTGATCAACTTATCTGATGCACCCCAATAGGGTGTTTCCCTGTGGAATTGTAATAGAATATATTAGAGTGTGATACATGGAAGGACAGGTGGTGGTGGAGGATGAGAAGAGATGTTGGACAGTAGAGAGATGCAATGATAAATAATGGCAGATATTTTAGAAATAGAATACATTTAACCTGGAGACCAATCAGTTGGGTCTGAGGTCAGGCAAGGTTGTGACTGCCACCTTTTAGATGTGAGTCACTGTGTGGATAGTGGTGCTTCTCAATCAGACAGGAATATATGGACAGAGCAGATGTGAGCCTGTGGGAGATGTTGAATTTATTTTTGAACAGGTTAAATTTTAGGGGTCTATGGGAAATATTCAAGTATAATGTCCAGTATAAAACTGAAAATAGAAATCTGGACTTCAGAAGAGAGATTGGGAATGGAGATAGATTTGAGAATCATGGGTTAATAATAATGAACATTATAGTAATGAAAAGTTACTTTAAACAAATGTAATGATTCAAGGAAATATATATTTTTAATATGATCAAGGAGAGTATTTAGAAATTTCAAATTTCCAATTTATTTTACATAGTCTCTCCTTGGTCTGAAAATTACTAGGGGTCAAGGGGTCAATAATACTATGATATAAGATGTTTACTTCTTAATTAGTTCTTAATAATTGAATTATCTTATTTCTGCTGACCTTTCCTTTTTTTTTTTTTTTTTTTTTTGAGACGGAGTCTCGCTCTGTCGCCCAGGCTGGAGTGCAGTGGCACGATCTCGGCTCACTGCAAGCTCTGCCTCCCGGGTTCACCCCATTCTCCTGCCCCAGCCTCCCGAGTAGCTGGGACTACAGGCGTGCACCACCTCGCCCAGCTAATTTTCTGTATTTTTAGTAGAGATGGGGTTTCACCGTGTTAGCCAGGATGATCTCGATCTCCTGACCTCTTGATCCGCCCGCCTTGGCCTCCCAAAGTGCTGGGATTACAGGCATGAGCCACGGCTCCTGGCCCTTTTTTTGTTTGTTTGTTTGTTTGTTTGTTTGTTTGTTTGTTTGAGACGGCGTCTTGCTCTGTCGCCCAGGCTGGAGTGCAGTGGAGCGATCTCGGCTCACTGCAAGCTCCACCTCCCGGGTCTACTGACCTTTCTTTATATGTTACTTAAATACTACTTGAAAAGTTATCAAACTGAGATAATTTTCTTTCCACTTTTCTTATTAATTTATATTTTAGTAAGTAAAAATAAAGTGTTTTCCTTAAACAATTGACTTTTCTAACCTAGTAAATTATAAGGCCCATTAATGTTTCTTTAATACTTTGTATTCCCAAAAAGGAAAATCTTAATGTAATAAATGATTTTGTTGCAATATTTTATCAGTTATACTTCTAAAGACTGATCATTTCTATACTGATATACTTCTAAAGCTTATACATTTATAGACTGATAAAAATAATTTTAAAATAAATTTCTTCACAGTACAAATGGAGATTGGCTTTACAACGTTACTCATATTCTCGATGTATCCTTTAAATTCCTTTACAACATTTGTATTACAGTTTATAATTTACAAATTATTAATAGTTGCTGTGTTACTTAATTGTTACCACAATTCTCTGAAGTGGATGTCAGTAATGTTATTTCATGGAAAAAGACACTTTAGCTCAGAATTGAAGGTCACGTAGCTGGTAAGGGTTGAGGGGCCCTCAAGTTGGTTCCTCCACCGCGAGCCCGCAGATCTTTGTCCATACCCGGGCAATTTCAAAGCCATGTCAGTACTTTTGTTAAAACACCTGTTTGTACTGCTTTTACAAATCCCTTATAAGCACACACTAATTAGGAAATCATATCCTTTATAGAAAATGGCCAAGACGTGATCCATCTTTTCCTAACCCTCTGTCTTTTTCTCAACTAGGCACTAGTAAGCATCTTGTATGAAACTGAAAAAGTACTACACTTTTTGGGTTATAACAAAGCAAGGTTATTTTCATCTCTAACAGTTCCTGGCTGATCACCGTGTTCCATGCCACAGAAAAGCCTTTAATTCCTTTAAACAACGTACTGAAGCCAAGAATTAGCATTCTTTCTGGCTGAATTGCAACTGCACACAGGTTGGCCTCTCATTTTTACAACAATGTTTTCATTAGGTCAGCTGAAAGGCTGACTTCTCTGAATGCAAAGTGAGAAACAGACAAGGAAGAGGAGTTTGAGCAAGAAATAATCTCTAGTGAGTCCCTTGTGTACATTTTCTCAAATTTTAAATAGTAAGTTTATTCTTATGTGCAATCAAGGACTATTTATTTTTATTTTATTATACATAAGAATCTTTTATTTTTATGTTATTGCATATGTTCATATATAAACATATATGTTTACATGTTCTTTCAAACTCTGGTGGTGTCCCCAAAACAGTGTGCTGTGATGATCAGCATGAACCAATCATCCCAAAGCAGGGTCTACAGAAGGTCTGAGTGGGTATAATTGCTTTCTAGTGGCAATTCATTATTGCAAATTACAAAGTCAGATATACCATAGTGCATCTGTGTGGAATTATAAAGTATTCATTATTGTTATTTTCATTCCTAGATTCAACATGCTTTAAAAAAAACATAAAATAAAAATAAGCAGAATAATTCTATGAAGATGAATTTTAGTAGTTGTAAACAATATATCTTTTTTTCTGAAACACATGAGCAATTGATTTTTATTAGTGGGAGGGGAAGAATAACATTGCACTAAATTCAATCTTCTGATAAACATGATGTTAATGTTATTAAATATCATAGCCAATTGTAATTATTTTGGAAACAAGAGCAGACTATGAAGTGCATCTTGTGTTTGCCCATGGCCAACAATTAAAATTCAATTTATACAGGAGAAAAAAATAAATACATTATAGATTTGGTGTTTAATGATATTTATTCTGACATTTATGAACTGAACTCTAGTATGTTTCAATTAACCCAGTGTAAGAGGAAACAACCAGCAATGTGAGGGCTTATTTAGTTAGATACAGTGCATAGGAACTTGTCTTCATTTAAAATTTTTGTGTTTTGTTCATCATGAATTTTTGCATCAATTTTGCTGCTTTAGGATATTGCATTAAAATATTATTTATCTTTATTAGGGATTTTTTTTGGAGTTCCCTTAAATTTTGCACCTGAGGCAAGTGCCTTATTGTTTCATCCTGGTCCTGGCCCTGTACTGTTTAGATATTTTAAAGGCAATAATAAATTGTAATATTTATAGAAATATACCTCTAGGAAAGGTTTCATCCTTGGCCCAGTAATTAGTTATGTGTAAATATCTCTAACAGAACATTATTAAAAATAAAAAACGGGAAACATATGTAGAGAGGAGAAGACCTAAGGGCCTATGAACTCTGTTGCAGAGAAGTGAGAAGAGAGTTCTGTTAGGTTGTTTTGCACTCAGGCACAGTGTTCTTTTGACAGGTAGTGAAACAAAAACTGTAACCCTATTGAGATTGGAGGAGCTCTATAGCCTTAGTCATGCCAAGCTTTGTATTTTGTTAAATACTACCAAATCCCTCTTTATAAAGCAATCAACTTTTTTTAGCGCCTCAGAGTATGCCACTGTTACCTGGAAAGAGGGGGTTCCTTGGAGAATAAATTGGCAGTCTTTGTAACCTCAGTTATTCTGGAGAGGCATTCACCAAATCAGTGATCCAGAGAAAGAACAGCCCTCAGGCCCAGGGTTGCATTCAGAAAATTTTCAGAGGAAATCATTAAAATCTCTTTGAGTCTTTTCTAAAGGGCCAACTTAGATGCAATATTATCTGGAACTGGAAATAAAACTAGCACTAGAATAATAAAATTTTCAGTAATAAAGCATATATAAATGGAATCAGAACATTTCTATGGTAAACTTTTGTTAAAATACAGCCATTAGATTTTCATATGCATGGATGTGTGTATATGTGCATGTGTGTGAATGTGTGTATTTTCAATGCTTTAGGTATTGAAGCCATGAAAAGAATTAGTAAAGGGTGTATATATAGCCTATACCAATTCACATATTGGGTTCAAATAGGAATTTTAGAGTCTAGATGCCATATAAGGAATACATAAAGCTTAACATATAATATGCCATTAACAAAAATATAATCACAAATATTTCTAAAATGTGTATAAAGAGGGGATGATCAGAGATTGTGCAAGAGACTGAGACTGGCCTGACTTGATTCATGCTTTTTCTGTTACGTGAACTTTATTGGATAGTCTAAAGCACATGGTATATGCAAAATAATAAATATAAAATATGAAGCTATTACATTTTACTAGTGACAATGAAATAAGCAGGGGCGGGTGCATTATGAAACTAATGAGGTGGAAACTCCCTTATTAGTGTTTCAATTTTAATTCATTGTTTTCCAATCCTGTGAGCTGAGTCTTGCTTTGCTTATTGAGTCAGAAACCTCAGTGCATTTTCATTTGTTCATAATTATAGTCTGTCCATGTACTAAAGAAGCCTGCTCTAAGAGAAACCCAGGAAATAAATTCAATAGGATCTCATGAAACTTTTAGAATATTCTAATAAGAAATCACATTAGACATAAATTTAATTCTGCTACAATTAGAGAAAAGATTGAGGCTTGTGAAAGCTTGTTGAATTAGGATCACACTCAGAGAGTATTAGAATCTGGGCTAGAACCATTTCTCAGGCTTGCAAACTAAAATTCTTTTCTTCATATCAGTCTGTCATCCTGTATTCTTTCCATGAATGGTCACTATGTATATTTTTTACTTTGGCTTTAGGATAATTTGCCGAGAAGCTTAATTTTGAAGTAAAATAAAGTCAATGTCTAGTGTTATTTATTTCTTTTATAATGTTGTTCTTGCAAATATTCTGCTAGATATGGGAAACTCTATATATTTAAGAGGGATATGTTCTTATTTAGACAGCCCAGACAGAGGAAACCTGACTATTTATCTAATCTGTGCTGATGCAGAAAGTCCTCAATTCAGGATTAGTCAATGATAGTGTAAATAAGTGGGAAAGATATGTATTGCTGCTTTCATGAGCAACTGAGCTGCAGAATTAATAAGCACAATAGGCACCTATAAGCTGTGGGTTGCCTATGGCCCTACCCAAGGAGAACGGCCAGTTGTAAAATTGGTTAGGGTGGGTGGTGTATTTATGAGGTGTCCAAAAAATAAAATATGAGATCTATTATAATTATTTGGTAATACTAATTATTTAATAATATCAATTTTATATGATTTTTAATTTTTGTTTAAAAGACAATTTAAATGGTCTTGATCTGCACCCTCTTCCTTAATGCTATGCCGAGGGAAATACACACATAGCAATTTGGACAGAACACATGGCAAGTGGCAGAGGAGGATTAGAATCTAAGTCTCCAGGGCTCCTGGCTCCTTAGATTTCTCAGAAAATTATGCTTGTAACTTTATATGGTCAAGTAAATTTACTGGAGGAGAAATCTGGTTATCCAGATACTGGAATACTAATTTTGGCTTCACCTCCAACCCTTCATATAAACTTTTTTCTCATATTTATTTCTTATCTGCAAAATAATATACTGCAGATGTTATATGGAATTGTGAATTATTCACATAATTCGGAATAAAGTTGTTTCTAAATTGCCTTCAAGTATTTGTGCTTTAAAGATAGATTATTTTTTATCCATGTGGTACAAGTAAAAAGCAAAAAGAACATGAACTTTCTTTGGCTGAAGCAATCACGCTCATTTGTTTGTCATCACATATTGTGTCTTATCACAATGTAATAGATGACTTCCATAGTAAGTTACCTAGAGGAATTTTAATTATAATATGAGAAGTTAAAGCCAGAGAATAAAGAATTAAAATCTAATCTGGTATTAAAACTAAGAAGAAGCAAAATAGAGGGGAGATATTAATACTTGCCACAGCGTTATAAGTTTGAAAGATTAACTTTATACCTATACCTGTACAATTTTTGCCATGTTTTCTCTTACCCAGTAATTCAATACTGTAAGTTGAGTATTTAGGCTTATGAAAAATAAATATAAGTATCATTCTGTACCTTGATAATTTCAAAATGAATATTGAGCTGATGTTGGGAAGGCATTGAATATATCTTAACAGGACAATCAGATTATTATGGCTGTGACATAAGAATGTTTCTCTGGAATCAATGCGCCAGATAAACTGGAAAAGGAGGCTAATTAAAAAGTTGTTGTAATTGTCTAAGCAATAGAAAGAAGGGCTTCATTAGCATGGGGACAGTGAGACTAAAAAGATTGTAGACCCCATTAAAATTGCCACTTCACA
The DNA here is from genome assembly GCF_000001405.40 of Homo sapiens. NCBI lineage: Eukaryota > Metazoa > Chordata > Mammalia > Primates > Hominidae > Homo > Homo sapiens. Next base: position 40,772,886 of record NC_000012.12, read on the forward strand.
TGCTGTTAATTTCTATGGGAAGTGGAACTAAAATGCACTGTGTCAAGCTCAGGTAAGTGGAAAAGAAGTATACATATCGTGTGTGCGAATATATATCGTGGATTGGATATACGCACATTGGATATACATATATTCCAAACTTTTGTAACTAATCTTAGATAGGCAAATGTGTATAAACTTTGCTTTGGTTGATATATTAGTTCTTTTAAAAATTCATGCAATATATCCACCATATGTTGACTCTAATATTAATGTTTCTGTCAAATAACACCTTCAAATAAGTTTAAACTCCATAAAAATTAATACCTGAGTTAAAGACAACTGAATTCCATATTTGTTTTATGAGACAAAGTGCTGATAAAACACTCTATGTAAGCCTGTAGCCTACTCCTTTTCTGCTCTGACTGGCTTGGCACTTTTCGTTTTAGAAAACGATAGTTAAGTCGTTTTAGTTTTAATTTTACATTCATCCTGTACAACAGTGAGGATTCAGACATTTTTCCATCCTTTCAAATTCTCAAAACCTATATTTATTTTTAAAAATATAAGAATAGATGTGTAAACCTAGGAAATGATTTTAATATACATAGTTAACATTTCATTGACTTTCATATGTTAAATCTGTGCTGTGTGAGCAGCAGGAAGCTACAGAGACTTCCGAAAACAAAACAAAACAGTGTTAGCTTTATGATAGTGCTCAGCATTCTTCACTTTAAACAATGTTTTTCTGACCTCTGACCAGAAACTGTATATATATATATATATATATACACATATATATATATATACACATATATATATATATATACACATATATATATATATATATACACATATATATATATATGTTGCTATTCTAAGTACTTTCTGGCAAGTGTGAGCTGTTATCCCTGTTCTTAACAAGCAAATTTTGCACAAAAATTAGAGCATATTTCCAAAGCAATGTATCAGCAAACATTAGTTTACATTATATATAATTGTTAGAAGCATATCTTTAGTATTGGACACAGAACTCCAGATATGATCTCGTCAAATGCAATTTTCATGGAACTTATTTTTGTCAGCACACTTACCATCTTCTTTCTCTACAATTTAAGCTCAACGACGGAAAAGATGTGTTTGACTTGTTCTCATTGGTTGTCACTGTATTTGCAATGCCCTGAAGAAGCTGGAGTATAGAACAAGCTGAAGTAGGCAGACCCTCATGAGCAAAAACATGTAATTCCAAACAAGGAAGATTGTAAGATAACATAATAACTTGGTTGATATAGGTGGGACGAGTTGATCAGGGAAGAGAGAAGCTCAAAACAAATTGAAGACTACATTTTTTTTTGTAAAATTAAGATCTGTAAGTGAGGATTGGTGACAAAAGGAAGGAGCCTCATATTTGAAAGAGCTCCTCAGAAGGTTGCCAAGTAGTGTGGGGTTTGTATTGTTGGAAAGGCTCTCTAAGGAAGGCAGTCACGATTGTGATGTCTAAAGAGAATTTCAAAGACTGGATTCATCTCTGAATGTTTAAGGGAAGACATCGATCTATCAGTAGTTCAATTATTCATGAGAGGGAAATTTGCAATCTCACAAGACAGCACATATTTAAAGAATGATTATAGAAAATATATGTGATCTGATGAGAGTCTCCTCCAAGGAGAGAAAAACTAATGGTGATTGTCAACTTTCATGAATATTTTAACAAATAAATAAACTCAATGTGATAAAGTCTGCTTTATAACGTATTCTACTGCTTCCTCTCCAGTGTAATTTCATGAATAACTACAGAAATCACACACTTAACTCTCATCTCAATATATAATTTAGCTATTATTGAATCTTCTTGCACTAAGAGAACATTTAAATTATGCTTTTAGTCTTCTACTTTTGGCCTTTTTTTTTTATTACCTTTCTCTAGTTTTTTAAAATCAAAGTTTACTAAAATATTTAAAAGAGAAATTAGAGCAACTAAGTCTTTTTAAATTTTTTATTAGTATGGTTAAATAATAGTTGTACATATTTATAAGGTACATGTGATACTTTGATATAAGTATACAATATGTAATGATTAAATAAGGATAATAGAGTTATCCATCATCTCAAGTATTTATCATTTCTTTGTATTTGGAGCATTCCAATTCAACTGGCTTAATTTAAAATGTACAATAAATTATTGTTAATTTTGGTCACTCTTTTTTGCTACTGAACACCCGCTCTTATTCCTTCTATCTTACTATATTTTTGTACCCATTAACCATCCCCTCTTTATTGTTCTTTCTAATGTTTAATAGGAAAGTGGTTATTTATCTTGATCTACTATATGGAGGAGAGATTTTAAAAATAACTTTAGATGCTGTATTTGGAAGGAAACTAACATATTTAAATGAAGACCACAATTAAATGTTTTTAAATATAATGCATGTTTCTTTAATATAAATGAATTATATATAATGTAATGTATATTTCCTTTGGTAGATATTAATTTGGAAAAATTTTTAGGTATGAGATATAATTACCTAGAGGCCTAGAAACTTGGGTAAGTAGTTTATCTTTAGTTCTATAATTATTTTTTTCCATTATATTTTGGGTACTAAATAAATGTCTCTTTGATTACAGATCTAAGCCTGATATCCTAGTAGGGAATAACATATGTATATTAGGACTAGGCCACGGTTTATCTTTTTTTCTGTTTACTTTTTACTTCATTTGAGAAATCGTTTCTCCTAATCACAAGTAAAATATGAACATACTTTAAGTCTGGAAATCAGCAATTCAAAAACTAAAGTGTACAAATACATAAATCCATGAGTTTAAAGAAAGACAGTAGAAAGACAGAGTTACATAATAAATTTTGTTATGTGTAGGCACCAGCAAGTTTTTTCTTATAAATTAAGACCTAAGTTAGACACAAATAACTAAGACAATGGTGACTTGAAATGCTAGAAACATTGCGGGGTAACATTGCCAAAAACAAGTAAGCAAACAAGAAAAAGCCCCAGAGATCAATGTGAGTCAAAAACGTAGTGTAAGTAGTATGTTGTCACTGCATAGTTACTTCATGAGTCAATTACAGATATAGATAGATTTTTAATAGTATAAAACAAAAGTTTTTTGAATTATACAGTGTAGCTTATTAATTATCCATTGTAAAAGTTACAATAGCAACTATTTAGGGCATTTGCCTCATTCCACATGTTGTATGGTAATGTTATTGCAGCCCAAAGCACTGATATTTCTCTATTATTCCTTTGTTTTAAATTTCTATTCTTTTTTATTTAAAATGGGCCACAAATTATAGTTTCTGTGTTATACTAGCCAGTGTACAGTTGGGACTCATTACTGAGTATAGAATTCTACAACACTGTAAGACAGATAAGATCAAGAGTTCTCAACAAGAGTTGGACACATAAGATAAAAGTAAAGCCTTTATAACAAACCAAAATTCACTGAATTGCACACTTAAAATAGATCAGTTTTGGGGTGTGCAAATTATATATCAATAAAGTTACTTTTTTTTCTTTTGTTTTGTTTTAAGATAGAACCAGGAGAGGATTTCACTTCCAGCCATTATTGATTTGTGACTCGTAATTCTTAGGTCTTCTGTGAAATACTGTGGGGTCAATTACTCATGCCTCATTTTTATATTTTGAATTGCTCCTTTTTTCCAGATACATTCCCAACTTTAAAAATGCCCATTGAGCTTACATTCTTAAAAACAAACAGGAAACAAACAAAAATCTTTCTCTATCCCTACTTCCTTCTTTTCTGACTTCTAAGTTTTAGACTTAAGAAAGGAATAGTCTCTGTATTATTTCAACATCTTTAACACCTCCCTTTACTATTGGGTTGAGAGTGACTTTGCAGAATTCACCAGTTACTCTTGAATTGCCAGCTATAATGATTTCTGTACAATTCTCATTTTTCTAGAACTCTATCAAGTAGGCGACACACTTAAGAAACTCTTTTCATTAAAGCAGTTTTTGTTTTTGGCTTCAGTGACCTATTTTTAACATGTTATATATTTTCTCTGGCCACACTTTTATACTGTTATTTTGTTTTTTGTTTATCTTGTATATCCCACCTCTCCCAGTCTTAAATTCTTCCCACTTATGTCCCCTGATTCTCTTGGCATTAACTGTCACACCTCTATAAAAATGGCATCCCAAACCCTAACTCTAGCCTTGACCTCTCTCTTTACTTTGGGTACATATATTCAACTTCCTTTTTGATCAATATAACATTTCTCACTAAACCTTAAAGCGAAAATCATCTGTCTTTCTCCAGACTCTATCTCCAATATCAAGTAATAGCATATCCATACATCTAGTCAACCATGCTAGGATAGTCAGGGTATCTAATTACTATGTTTTTTTTTTTTAATTCTCTATATCCAATCAGTTACCAAGTCTTATCAATTCTATCTTGAAATTTCTTTTATATATGAAACCTTTCTGTGTGTATATAATAATAAGCTCTTCCTAGGACTTAAAGGAAGGGAAAGGCTAATGTTACATATGCTGTCTGGGAACACAGCATTTCCTGAATACCTTACTCTTTGGTAACACCTAGGCGACCCTCCTGGCACAGAGTTTAGCCTAATGTAAAAGAACAAGTCTTCAGGGTCAGCACAGGATGAGTACTATCACATATGGCATATTGCAGTGAATTAGAAAAAGATTCCTTCTGTAATATACATCCTTCTTTTTAAAAAAGTCACAATGTAAATTTTTTAAGAAAAATATATTTTACTGCCATCTATGGGAAAAAGTCTGGAATGAATATACAAATCTGCATTGTCTATGCTCTGATATGTCGTGTTCTAAGGGGTGCATAAACTGCATGAGCACACATGGTAGCTCTGCGTAATGCTGTGCTTTTCAAACCCCGGTCCAACTGTTTAGTAGCTTAACCTTGGTAATATACTCAACAACTTTGAGCTTCAGATTCATCACCTATGGCATGATTAATAACAGTCTCTTTCAGTCAGTCTTTGGGAAGGGTAAATATGGAAATATGTATAAGTAATAAGCAACTTCAAATTTACCTGTAGATGTTTCCAGTCTACTGCCTCAAAAGCACATCATGACAAGATACCAGATTATGGAAGTCCTTACGCTAATGTAAAGGGGCAATGAAAACACTGTTGGTTTTAACATTTCACTACAAATCATTAAACATGTCTTCAGGAATATTTATTTGAGGTCATTTCAAAAGAACCAGAGGAACAGTCATCCTATTTTTTTAATAACTCAGGATGTAGCCTGGAATCTAATTGTACCTGAATGTTGGACAAAACTATGTGAAGGCTTATTACCAAACTATAAAAAAGTATCTTGGCTTCACCATTTCCATGTTATCATCATATTTTATTGTTCTCCTATTTCAGAGGTCAGCAAAGCACAGGCCATGGACTATATCCAACCCCTGTACTGTTTTTGTAAATAAAGTTTTATTGGAACATAGCCACATGCATTCATTTATATACAGTCTAGGCTGCTTTCCTGATACAAGGGCAGAATTGGGTAGTTGTCACAGAGACCATATGGTCTGGAAAGAACAAAGTATTTATCTGGCCTTTATGCAAAATATTTATGAACCCCTGATTTTTTATCCATTTTAAAATACCAATTCACTTGACTTTCCATTTTGCTCAATTCTACAAATAGACAAAAAATATTATATTAATCTGGAGCATATTGAGTCTCATTTTGCCTTTCAAAGTATCTTTTATGAATGAACATAAACCTAATTATAGCATGCTGGCTTAAACACGAACAATCCCTTAGGTTTTATCTTAAAAAACAAAACAAAACTAACCAAAAAAAACCTAAGACAAAGCAACTTGTTCATTTTTGCCAGATTTTTATTGGAACTACATAGAAAATATTTCCTATAAGAAATTGGCTCTCAACGACTGATTGTTTTGTCATTAAAATATAATAGTGGGGAAAAGTCCATTTAGTAGTTTTAGAAGAGCCATGTTATTTGATGATACAGTGACTGAGTTAGTTGCCTGTTTGAAACTATTTTTGGTTGATAGTCAGGAAATTCCATGAGTGCCTACTTCATTCATTAAATCAAGTAGTTGAAACCTTTCCTTTTCATATGGAAAAATGACTAAAAATTAGGCAGCATATTGTTATGGAAAAATATGAACAGTCAGGTAGATGTAGTCTTACTCAAATACTAGCTGTATAATTTTGGGATAGACTTTAGTTTCCACATTTCTGAAAGCAAAATAAATAATCTTTATTTTTTTAAGGATTTTTGATAATTATGTTAAAATCTTAGTAAATAACAGTTTCTTAATTAATAGTATGGTAAAGATTGAGTTCATTAAGTAAAATATGTCAAATTTACTCAGAATATTCTTCAAAAAGTCTATTTCTCAAATTTCCCCGTCTGTTTGTGTGAATTTATTTAGCAATTTGTTTTGTGTGCTACTTCTCATTCTTAAAAACAAGTTAAGAACTTAACCTTACTCACCTTTTTCCACTTACCTTTTAAAATAATTCTACCAAGGACACTTATAATTTAAAAGCTAGTTGTCTGGTATCATTTGGATGTGTAGATACAGCTAAAGGAATAATTAGTTATGGAGTAAGAAAATAAACAGCAAACCTTAAGAGATTAATTTTTTTATTGAGCTTTCCGAAGTCCTAAACATCAGTGGCCAGGGATTGAACCTTAATTATAAGTACAGCCTCCAAAAGCATTGCTGTCATTTAAGACATTCTTTTAAATGTGTTTCTTTAGAGTTAAGCCATGAAAGTGAAGTTTTCCTATTATTGACTGTAAAACAGTTAAGAGATGCTTTGGAATCCAACATAGAAGTTCCTCAAAGTTAAATGAAAATAAGAGCAGAAGTTAAATCTATTTTTAAAAGAAGAAATTGAATATAAAAAGTGTCATTGCCATTGATATCAAAGTGCAGGTATAATCATAGTTCAGCAGGATATATTTTAGCTAGATTATGAAAGCTTTTCACAGATGAGTGCAGTTCAAAGCAATCTGATTCTGGTTTCTGTTTCTGCCATTGTTATGAGGACTCTTTTACATTGGAAGACTAAATCTCCCCAAACAGGTGTCATTCTGGAGCAAATTGAAAGAGTTTGAGCTTGGATTATAGTGAGGATTCCTAAGATCTTCTGGACCACGTGTCTTTCTCTTGAAAAGCCTTCAGACCGAAGTGTGTTCTCTTTTTATATCCTATTCTAGACCATAGTCCTACCATGCCTAAAAGTGACCTGCTTTGGAGATACGGCTGATCAGTACAGGTATATGGAAGAAATTCTCTGTGAATTTTGTAATTCACAAATTTTAAGAAGTTGCTACAATTGTACAGGATGATCATGGGAAGCTATGTATCTCAGTTTGTCTACCCAAGATGGGCATCCTGGGAGGATGACAGGTGAACTTGTCACATACATATCCCAATTGGGAAAAGGAATAAGGAATTATCTGAATGATTAGGTTTTGAAGTTTAAGACCCCTAGGAATTCAAAATATTCGAGAAGAAAATTCTGACAATGATCAATAATTTATTTAGTTAACAACACTGTGGGCAGCTACAATATGGTTTCAGCTACAATATGGCAGCTACAGTATTTCAATTGATTCCCATGCTACCTATCAAAATAAAATAAAATTTGAAAGTCTTTCTTATATTTGCATGTCTGATATTTTCATAGAGAGTGCCATTGTGTGAGAATAAAATGTCAAATTCTCTATTCTCGGGAGGCTGACATGGAGGGATCACTTGAGGACAGGAGTTTGAGGCCAGCCTGGGCAACACAGTGAGATTCCATCTAAGAAAAAAAAAAAAAAAAACACCAATCCTCATTTCAAGGTTCATCTCAAAAATCCATGAATCAAAAGAGGAGGCCTTTAAGGAGAGGTTAAGGCATTCTATTCAAGCCTCTTTTTTTTTTTCAGAGGTTCAGGGTTTGTTGAGTAGGAAGGTATGATGTGGCTCCTGGAATGATGCTCATACCAAAGGGTAGAATTTTCATTTTTAAAGAATTTTGTGCAAAAATGATGGAAATCTTTTTTTTTTTTAATTTCTAAGGGTGATATGACTCATTAATGCATCAGGCTTTCTTTTACACTAGACAGCAATCACATACTCACTACTAAGGTTACCTCTGTTAGCAAGAGGTATCTCATCTATAAGCAGCTAATAATGGGAACCAAATAGATGAAATAAATCAGATGTGAAACAAATATAAGACCCTCGAAATGTAAGTGACCAGCAAAGAGAATAGTGCATCTTGGGACATAAGCTATGACTATATTAGACCTTCAAAGCCATATTTGCACAGATAGGTAAAGTGCTAGGAACAGGTGAATGCACAACCGTACCTGTGGGACAAAAGGCCTCAGATGAGATAAAGAGTGAAGTCAGAAGAAGAGAGATTTTATATAAGCCACCAGAAGACACAATAGCACTGCACTCTCACACTTGGGTCTCTGTCTCTTTGGACATCTGTCTTGACCATTCCAATAGAAAATTTAAATCTTGGTTCAGGCTGGGCCATTGATCCTGGTCCCAGTCCTCTATTGAGTATGTGTCAGAGATTCCTGGGTGAACTTTCCTCTCTTTTCCTAAGGGTTCCATGGGAGACAAATATTTCTTCTGCATGTATTAGGAACAAACTTAAATGTGGTACAAATTTTGTTATTTTATTATCTTGTATGGGCTAATGGGAGGGTTAGTCATTGTTAAATTTCTGCCTCCCATTAAATTTCATCATTAATCAATTTTTTTAAACCAATATCTGGGTTGAAATGAGTCACCAAGGTGAAGAACTGGAACATAAAAACCCAAAAGCAACATGATCAAGTGAATATAGCAGAATAAAAGGCCCTAAATTTAATTGTTTCTGTGTGTACACTGTGTCTTCTCAATTGTTCTCTATTATAGTCAGAATGGATCCTTATTGATTTATTTAACGCATGTTTATATTTTGGTTTCTGCATCTGATCTCATATTTTCTCAGGAGAATATAATGCTTTTCCTTTAGAATACAATGTTAATTATCAAGGTAACTGAGATTTGGAAATTTAATGGGCTCTTTCTGTTCTCTTCCTACTATTAATTTTTTATTAGTCATCTTGAGAGAATAAATATTTTTAGAATACCATCTGAATATAATTTTGTCTTGTCACATGAGAAATTGTTAATTTTTGAAGTTTAATTTTGTTACATAATAGTAATTTGAGTGAAACCATCCCCTATTACCTATCTATCAATATGCACACATATTTTTTAAAAGTTCCAATAATAGTGTTGTACATCATAAAGTGGGACAAATTCAGCAGTGATATTAAAGTATTATAGTTTTATTTGAAGTATTAATTTCTAATAGAAGTTGATAATGCTGAGTAAGATGGTGTTTTGGATATGAACCATTAACAGGCTTTGAAAAAATAAAAAAAAGGTCAAACCCTTTTAGCTTAAATGTATTTACTGATTTTATAAATGTAATTTATGAATATGCCAAAACCTTATATAATAGTCAAAACAACAACTTAAAACTTCTTAGGGATTAAAATGCAACTGATCTTCTATAGAACAAATTGAAAATTTTTGCTAAAAGTAAGAACATTTTAATCTTCTAGTTAACTAACTATAATTTCATAATTACTGATTTGTAGATATCCACTTTGGATCATTTCTAGTGTAGTTACTAGATGAGGTCTGTCTAACACTGAAATTTGCTGGAGGGACAATTGGAATGATGCATATTTGAGGAAAATTTAGGAAAATTGGGTTACCCAAGTAGATGGAGGTGTATGGACTTATTTTGTTGATAAGAGAAAGTGATTTTTCCAGCTTCATAACTGATCCCCTGATTCCAGTATTCTCTACCTGAAAAATAATGGGCTGCATTTTATAATATCATAGTTGAGTGAAAGAATCCACAATCTATATGGGGTAGCCAAATAAAAAAAATTTAAAATGACGAATTGTCTAGTTTTTCCAAGGTATAAAATGATGACTTAATCCTAACAGAAGCAATAGAGGAAGGGTGTGCATGCTGTTGCCAGAGACATAAAGGAAATAAATATGACAGTATTTATGATAGATTAGATGAAAGGAATAAAGAAAAGAGGAGAGAAATTGGTTTTGGGGTTTCTTCTATAGCATAAGGGAAATTTTCAAATGAATGTAAGTAAGAGTATAAACTGTTTTGTTAGAGAACAATATGAGTTTGGTCTCTATTTTGCTTTTAAAGTACCAGTGGGAGCTCAGCTTCATTTATTCTATAGGACATAGAAAGTCGAGTGAAGAATAGAGTCAAAGATTGAGTCCTAGCTCCATTAAATATATTTATTAAAGATTTTAGAGTGGGTGATTTCTCTGAAAGAATTAGTATAACAATAGAAGAACATAAAGCTGGCATTTTAAACATAATTATCAGATGAACAGTTTTGAATAAAATATAGCTGTGTGAGATCAAAAAATATATGTGAGAAGATGCAAGCTGAAAGCCAGTCTTGCCTCCTATAACTGACTCAAAAATCTCAAAAGATTTTGTGAGTTTTGAATTTGTTTTTTGTTAGTTTGCTTGACCTTAAAATGTTGACTTCTACAAAGTGAATAAAGTAGATTAAAGGCTGATCATCAGACTCCCTTGATAATGCAAATTACATAGAACACAACTCTAGTAAACATCAATTTCAATATGTTATTGACAATGTGACTTCTCTTACCTTAAGCATTTTCTTTCATATGGTATTATCACCATTCCAGTAACAATGTTTCAGGTAAAACATGATTTAAAACAACTTGTATTTTAGAATCACAACACTCCTTTACTCGTTGTGTGAAACACGTAAATCAGGTAATAAAAAACCAAATAGATGAATAAAGAAGGGAAACTCTTCTTATGCTAGAAATTCATTTTGAGAGATGTCATTCATTAATGCTGAGGTAAATATTATAAAAATGAAAGACACTTTTTCTTAACATTAGTAAATAAAATATAGATGGAAATTATATGTGTAACATAGTTACAAATTTCTTACCAATTAATTTCTTTATACTGACCATCTTCACTTGTAGATTAAATTTGTCAATTTTATGCTAAATTTTCAGCTAACAGTAAAGAAAAATAGATATTCTCTTCAAGATTCCCACAGTGTAGTTAAAAATGTCAGCTATGTAAACAAATTATTACAGCATAGTGTAATCCCCTGTTACAGAAGCCCAAAGGGTGCTATTACTCATTTTGACTGGGTGGTTCAGGACTAGGGAAAATATGAATCTTTATCAAACTTCTAAAAGAAAATATAATTTCTGAATTTAGACCTGCATTTGTCTGGAGATGAGTCTTCATATGGCGCTATCAATATATTTTTAGAAAGTGGGGATTTAAAATGTGAAACTTGCACCTGTGGTCTGCTACTTACTTTTCTCACACAGCAGTTCCCCCAATAGTAGTACTTTAGTTAAATGCATTAAGAAATTGAGTGGAAAAGCTTTGGTAATTGTTTTATTTAAGGTAATGGAACTTATATACAGGCAATGCAATGAGTCACTTCAGTTTTTCAAGATAAATTGAGATAGTTTTAAAGATTATATCGAGGGTTCTCTTTCTGGCAGGTTATAAATGAAAAACTCTAAAATGTGACTGTAAGAAACTTGTTTTTAAATGTTTTGCTGAGCGGGCTAGAAAAGAAAGTATTCCAAGAGGATAAAGATGAAGTGAAAGCAGGGACCCTGAGAGGCAAGCAAGTGCCAAGCTTGGAATGTAAGATAAAGCCTGGTTTGCCCAAGTTGGAGACTGATAGAAAAGCTCCCCAGAGAGCAGGATCCCAAAGGGCAATACTGTAAGAACAGGTTCAACAGGGTCGTGTTCTATATGGGAAATAAACCTATCACTGGGAATATACATCAAAGAAATGTACTTACCCACACCTTCCCACTGATTGGATTGGCACAAATCTGCCCTTAGAATTCAGAAATATAAGGTAGCTTTCACTCAGGTTTGGGGGCAGAATTCACCTGCGTGGTCCAACAAACCTCAACTGATACTTTTGTGTGGTTACAGATTCATAGTCATGGGGTGGATGCAAAAGGAATCCTTCGTAGTGTGAACCTAAATTCAAGGCATTTCCTAGATACAGTTCTAAGGAAATGAGTAAATCATCTGAAAATTATAAAATGTAAAAAATAAAATAGACTTAAAGCTAACAAAAGCATGACAGGAGATCTAGACTTACAAAGATTTCAGATATTGGAAGTATCAGACACAGAAAAAAACTATTTAGTATTATATTAATTTTCTTTTGCTGTCTGTATTGTTCCATTTTTGCATCACTATGAAGAAACACCTACAGATGGGGTAATTTATAAAGAAAAGAGGTTTAATTGGCCCATGGTTCTGTAGGCTGTACAGGAAGCATGGTGCCAGCATCTCCTCAGTTTCTGGTGAGGCCTCAGGGAGCTTTCACTCATAGTGGAAGACGAAGTGGGAGCAGGCACGTCACGTGGCAAGGAAGGGGGTGAGAGAGAAGGGGGAGGTACTGTCTCACCTGTCTGTGTGAAGAGACCACCAAACAGGCTTTGTGTGAGCAACAAGGCTGTTTATTTCACCTGGGTGCGGGCGGGCTGAGTCCAAAAAGAAAGTCAGCAAAGGGTGGTGGATTATCATTAGTTCTTGTAGGTTTTGGGATAGGTGGTGGAATTAGGAGCAATGTTTTGTGGGCAGTGGGTGGATCTCACAAAGTACATTCTCAAGGGTGGGGAGAATTACAAAGAACCTTCTTAAGGGTGGGGGAGATTACAAAGTACATTGATCAGTTAGGATGGGGCAGAAACAAATTACAATGGTGGAATGTCATCAGTTAAGGCTATTTTCACTTCTTTTGTGGATCTTCAGTTGCTTCAGGCCATCTGGATGGCTTAGCTTGGGCTCAGAGGCCTGACAGTAGGATACTCTTTTAAACAACCAGATCTCACATTAACTAACTGAGGGAGGTTCACTTATTACCATGGGGATGGTGCTGTCATGTATGAGGGATCTGCCCCCATGAGCCAATCACCTTGACCTGGCCTCACCTACAACATTGGGGATTACATTTCGACATGAGATTCAGAAGGGACAAACACCCAAACTACATCACTGCCATAACAAATTATCACGCACATTGTGTCTTATGACAACAGCTCTGTAAAAACATAGTTCTGTAGGTCAGACGTCCAGTATGGACATTACCAGACTAAAATCGAGGTATTGTTAGGTTATATTTCTCTCTTGAGACTCTATGGGAAAATCATTCTCCGACTCATTTGGGTTATTGGCAGAAGTCAGTTTCTGTGGTTATAGGACTGAGCTCCTTATTTTCTTGTGCTGCTCTAGGTTGAAGGTTGCACTCAGCTTCTAAAGGCCAAAGAATGCCTTTGTGTACCACCTCTTCATCTTCAAAGCCAGCAACAGCTGATTAAGTCCTTCTCACATCACATCTCTCTCTAGCCCTTTCAGTCTAATCTGGCAGTGTTTCTGGTGATATGAAATTCTCAACAACTCTGTGAGTGTCTTGTGTATGTCACAGGGCTTTACTTCATTAGATAAGAGGCATGTCCATGGATCTTTCCAAGGTGATCCCTTCATTTTTGGCTTCTGCTGAGATGGCTGAAGGGACTTATAAGGTAGAAGATGTTTACAAAGTGGTTGCTTTGAATATTATTAGTAGAAGTATGGGCATTAGAGACTGTCCAATCTTCAGAACTGGAAATCCAAGGGAAACTGAAGCAGGATAAATTAAAAGAAAATTATGCCTAAACACATAAAAATAAAATGCAGGACGTCAACAATAAAGAAGAACTGGAAGCAGAGAAACAAGGGAAAGCATCAGTGAAGGAAAGGCAATTGGACTGATAACTTCTAAATTGCAACAATGGAATCCAGAAGATACTAGAATGTGGGATCTATCTAGAAGATTCCATCTCTCTGTCAATACCTTCCATGTCACTCTGCTCACTTCCATCTTTCAGTTATACATTATTTAACCGGCCTCATTATTGTATTTATTCCCTTGTCCTTTAAATTCAGTTTAGCACTTCTAATATCTAATAAATGAGTATAAATCTGTGTCACATATTTAATTATTCATTTATTCAACCAATATTTGTCATCAGCTCACTATGATGTTCGTTATAGGCCAAGATTTACTGGAATACTGGGGATATATTAAAAAATCTGCCTCTATATCAAGTTATTTATTTATATCAATTTTTCCAATTTAGAAGTTGTAAGTATAAAGTCATACTGTTCATCTTATTTATAATATAACCTCTCAATTGTTTATCACTTAAAAACCTTTATCTTTATAACTTTTATCTTATATAATTTTCGAACAATTCCATGGTCTCTCCTAAATGTTACAGTTGACTCAGGACTTGGCAGCTATCATCAATCAACAATAATTTGTTTAGCACCAAATATGTGCTCACTACTCTGCTTAGCACTTTTGGGCACACGGGGAAAAGTGTTACAGCACAGCTGCATCTTTCAGTGTCATTAGAGACTATTCATTATATTGCATTTGGCAGACTCTGCTTTTTGTTATTTTTATAATTGAATTATTTTGGATTTTTAATAACTTCTAGTTCCTCATCACTTGTATTAGAATAAATTATAGAATAGATGTTCAAAGTTGTTGCTTTATTTTTCTGAGCATGACTAATATAAGAAAATCTCATGACTTTTCATTTCATTTCATCAAAACAAGAATTCCTTATTAAGTAAAAGTAAATCCAGGCAGTCACAGGGATTTAGTGCCTGAGATTCAATGAAGAATAAAATAAAATAACTGTGAATTTTTTCATAAAGCAAACATAAGCTTTATTTTTTCCCAGAATTACACAATGACATTCACCTGGAATGTAGGAAAACATTTTGCCAAATTCTAGATGAATTTCATTGTGTGATTCATCTGGAATTTAACATTTTGCTGAATTTAATAATTTACTAAATTTTGCTGGATGTATAATTTTATCTGGAAAATATATAATGTGGCATCTCTTATGTAGAGGATAGAATATTAGTGTTAAACAGAATTGGTTTGAACCCTGGCTTTGCAAACTACTAGCTGTGGTTGCTTAGGCAAGCTGTGTATCTCCCCTGAGCCTCATCTCACTATTAAAAATAAAAAAATACTAGAATTCAAACTCAGTCTTTTTTATTTTGAATTATATTAACTCCAAACTTGGCATGAGCATATTTGCAGAAAGTCCAATGTCTCCTCCCATCGTCCAAGATTCCTAGAGAATTGCTCCATCTAATGTTATCTGCCCTGCTTCCAAATGCCAGGCTCAGAGAAAACCAGGAAGTTCATCCATTGATTTCTGTCACTATACACACAGCCGCTATGGAAAAATAGTTCCCAGCACATTCTAACTGGTGATTTTGCATGCTACTGAAACGGATTCCTCAACACTTGCGAGCTTCATGATACCATCTGTCATGTAGAAGCACCTCAGCCAGTGTTCCTACATGTCCACCCTGATGCAGTAGCCAGGACAGGAAAGGCTGCCAGCTTCAGCCCTTCTGCAGGAGCCTCTAAACCACAGTTCTGAGCCTGGCCATGCTCTCCTTTGCCTCATGGTGACCTATTTGGGGCTCCTGATAGCCTTTCCTGCCAGCAGCCTCAGTCAAGAACAGAAAGACTTCAAAGAGGTTCCGGTAGCATTAAAATCACAAAAGGATCCTTCTCCAACAACCCCAAATGACCCCTTGGAAAATTTGCTAACACCTCTGTGACCCAATCTTGAGGAGGCTTGAGTCAGCCATAATTTAGCAGATCATAAAAGGACCTATTATTACCTTCCCCCAGGGAAATAGATACCTCCTAGGTGACTAGAGGCAAGTAAAGTGACTGTTTAAAGTTCTTTCTAGGTTTAAGTTCACTAGTAAAGCTTCTCTTTCTTTTATGTTCTGCCTCATCACATATATCATACATCGTGCTATTGTTAGGATTAATGAGATGACATATGTAAAGTACCCGCTACATAGTAGACACTTTATACATGTTAATTTTCTCTCGTGTTCGATATTCTTAATTTTTAATTTAGATCTTCATTGCTATTTTTCATTTTCACTATATCCCACATGAGATTATAGAATCTATAGAGGGAGTTATGTCTTATATATCTTTCACATCCACAGATTATTTAGTATAATTCCTTGCAGTTACATATTAATTGCTATATAATTATTATTTCAGTGAATACTTTGAGATTGATTTTTTCCATATATAGATAATAAAATCTGCTTTTTAAATTTCTTTGTGTGACTTTCTGCTATGAAAGTTATTACTCTGAGAAGAAGCTTGGCAAGGAAAGGAGATGAATTTCTAATCCAACTATTTGCATTTTGATAACTGAATCACCCATCAGTCAATAACACTTAAATTGCTTAGAAATTTTCTTGAACACTTGAAATAATGGGTTCCCTTCTTTCTCAGAAATGGTGAGGCAAGAATACATTTGTAAGAGGCATACTGTTGCAATGAAAACAACCTAAAGAAATTGAAATTTGAATTCTGAATCTCCACTGATACTGACAAGGGAACAGGCAAGTCATTTAGTGATCCTTATTTGGCAAAAAGGGGATGACAATGAAAAGATCATTATAAGGATTACAGAAAATACATGCATGCTGTGCTGTGATAGGAACTCTTTAATTTAAAAAATGCACACACATGTTGAAAAAGTTGGAAAATAAAAGAAATAACTCATAATCTCATATCTCATGGATAAGCTTTTGTTAACATTTTGAGATATTTTGAGTTCATATATACCTAAATTTTAATATCCTATTTTTTACTTCATGTTTCATTGTGTTGAATTTTGAACTTTTCCATGTTGTAAATTCTTCAAAAATATTATTTTAATGCTATACTTTATATAATGTGGACATTTCTCATGGTTATACCAAATTTTTTCTATTGTTTAACTTAAAATAATTGTATTATCATTTTTGTAAAATTTCCATATTTCTGTATATTTCCTTGGAAAATATGATGGGAACACGTGGAAGATTCTTACTTTTTAGATTTACACCTTTGATATCTGCTAACTTAACATTTCTTCTTCCATCTAATCTTGAAATACCTCCACAGACCCATGACTTGTATAAATCTATT
Source organism: Homo sapiens (assembly GCF_000001405.40). Lineage (NCBI taxonomy): Eukaryota > Metazoa > Chordata > Mammalia > Primates > Hominidae > Homo > Homo sapiens. The sequence continues at coordinate 40,790,028 of NC_000012.12, forward strand.
ATTTTGCTGATCTTCCCACATGTGTGCTGCCCAGGGCTAGTGTTAATAGCATGCACTTTGCCTATATTAAGGAAGTCTAGCAGCTGCATGACCCTCTGCTTCCTTCTAGCTGCAAATTCTAGTACATGGAAAGACTTGTGCAATACATGTGACTCCTGCTCTTAAGGTCCAGACCCAATTGGCCTTTGAGATTTGTCACATCCAGCTGATGCCCCTTGCTTCCTCTAAAAGGCAACACAGATGAACTTCAGGAGCCAGGGAATCTCCCCGACAACTTCCAGCGGTGGGCAGTGTTATGGATAGGAAGCCACATGCCCAACTTGACCCAGTGAGCTGTTACCACCTTTATGATATGATCACTTCATTCTACCAGAAGAGCTCTTAGAAAACTTGACCCCTAGATTAGAGCTTTCAATGAACATCTATGGAGAATTTAAATGAATAGGCACTAGGAATTTTCTCTGCGCATCACTATCTCCCTTAGAAAAATAGACTGCTTTGTCCTCATCTCACTGCCTGTATGTACCTCCTTGCCTTCTCACTGCTGTCCAGACTTTGGACCCTAGCAGCACTGAAAATACCAGGGATACTGCTGCCCAGTAAACTGCAGGCAAGAAGGGTGTACAGCACCCCTCATTCAAAACCACTTTCCAATCTTAGGGGAGAATTTTCTGTCCACATCTCCTGTCCCACCGCCAACCAACACAAGAAAGGCTGCGATGTGAATCTTTTTTTGTCCATACATTCTTCTCTCCAAGTCTGTTTCTGAAGCCCCTTTAAAAATTCTTTCCATGTTAAAAAATCCCCCAAAACTAATTCTACCTAATTCACATCAATGACCTTAATTCAAACTCAAGGAAGCCCCTTGTAATAATTAAGGTCTGGGCTTTTATTCTCAGTTAGCCAAGGATTGTCTTCATAGAATCCCTGCGTTTTAGTCTCAGCCACAGTTTGTAAAAGAGAGGCTTTCCGGTAGTCTATGCCTGGGGTTAGGAAAGAACACTTTCCTCAAATTCTTTATTTCATATTCTCACAACAATTTTGTTATTACTTGTTTCCGTTAGCGTTAATAACTACCCTTTTTAAGTGCTCTGTTTCACAAATTTAATATTTGCACACATTGATGCCTATGATAGATATTTAGTTCATCAACTTTTTTTGTTTTATATTTTAGCAAATGAAAAGAGACTCACTTTTAACATGGCATTAGTTACCTTTGATTTTGCTTAACCCATGTCATTGTCTTATTTCCAGAGATGGTTTATCACCTTGTTCCTGACAATACGTATACGTAGAGTAATTGCTCACCTCAATTACCAAAATATGTCCCAAATTCTCTGCTATGGTCTAAAATTCCTGTGGTCAAATTTACCACTTGAATTGTTCTTTGTAACCAAAGTTGGATCATTTTCTCTACTAGACCAGTTAAAATACATGTGGGCACTGAATTTTTCTTTTGATGAAGGGATGTTGATTCAGTTATCAGACTAGCTTAGGAATAAATTTGGGTGGACCTAAGAAATACATGTAGACTATTCCTTTAAATATTGTAGTCATACACCTATATTTTATTACTCTAAAATCTACAATGTTCGTTTACATCTATAATCATTTTTAACCCTCACAAAAAACTGTGAATTATGTAGCTTGTGCACAGAGCTAATAAATAGTAGAAACTACAAGATAACGTAGATGTCACTTTGTTAAGATACGCAAAAATGGTCTCCAAAAATATACTACATGTCAGAAAGTATCCTACCCACATCTTCCCACTGAGCACTGGAAATGATGGCTGACTGCATGATATTTCAATGATTGGGAGAGATGTTTATATTGATGTAAATAAAATAAGGGCTGAAACTCCTGAAGATGTAGTCTGATCAATCTACTCATGTTTCAGAGTACTTGCTATGTGCTCAGCACTGTTTAGAGTTTTATGGGCCATTCAAAAGAACACAATGTTGTTCTATTTATCAAATAGCTCATAATCTGTGTGAGGAAATCAATTTAACCTGAAGAATTATTAGAAAAAATAATCAAGAATTCATAGAAAAAAATTAATATTAGGGTTTGGAGCACTGATCATGCAGGAATTCCGAAAAGGCAAAGAACAATAGGGGCTGGAGTCCTCAGAGGATGATTCCTTGAGGAAATAACACATGAGTTGAGCTTTGGGGAGAAATGGGACCCAGCAGCACCCAAATCTCAGCTCCTCCACCCACTTTTTAATTTTGTTTGGAATGTTACCTAAACTCCTTGAACCACACATGTTGACAGTGGTAAAATGAGGAGGCAATGCTTATTTTACTTATTGTGACTATTAAGTAAGATGTTTTATAGAAAATACAAGTGCTTGATAATAACAAAAATCTCCATTTCTTTTTTACTTTTAAAATCTATTATTTAAACTTGTTTACTATTTAATGACTTTTATTTGTCTTTCTTTTCTTCTCTGGACATGTAAAAGGAGGTAATGAAAAACATTCAAGAAGACAGAAAATGAAAATTATTGTAAACCACAGCACTAAAATAATAGATACAGAAAGCCTTGAGGACACAGACTTATCTGTGGGTTAGTGGAAAAAATAAATTCTTGATTTTCAAAGACTACCTCTCTTCTACTTTTTATCTTGATATATAATTATTTGTCTTATATTTATTATTGAACTATGAGGTGTTGACTTTTGTGGGTCTTTTTAGTTTTAATTGTTTATTTTTATCCTCCAAGACCCTTGGCAAAATTCCTTGCATATAGTTTTTTAGGAAATGTTATTCATTTGTGTATTCATTAAGTAAATATTTCTTCAGCAGTGAAGGAAACCAAAAATATTTCACCCGAAAATATATTTCTTTGGCCTATTTTGAGATGACTATTCAGACGGGTTACAGACCACAGGAATAGCTCTGAAAAGCTTCCCTTTGTGGGGGGAGATTTGCATTTGTAGGGAAAATCTACATTAGTGAAATAAACAGCCAGGCTTTCTCCGGAGTCCTCCTTAGCCTCATCTAAAAAAGATTAACTCACAGAAAAAAAGAGACTCAGAGTCTAACAATCTTAAAGGTCTGATGGAAAAACTTACCACAGGCTAGCGTCTCATCTTTCTGAGGGCTGCTACCTGTGAGGCTTCATCTGAGTAACAAGACCATCTTGCTGGCCACACCTTTCCTCCTTTGCCTTCTGTAACCTGTCTTGCCATGCTCCAATCCTTTATTTTTTCTGTAACCTCAGGATGGTATACAAACTTCAACTATCTGGCTCTTCTTTTGAGTCCCACACTTTATGCATAGTTCCGGTGTCCATATGCACATTAAGAGAAATTTGTATGCTTTTTTCCCCTGTTAGTCTGTCTTTTGTTACAGAAGTGTCCCAGCTAAGAACCTATGAGAGTTAGGGAAAGAAATTACACATTTTGTCCCCGTCAGCACCTACTTGT